>NC_000012.12:112611643-112763158 GCF_000001405.40 Homo sapiens | reverse complement strand
AGGGAGAGTTACTTAAAATTCTATGAATTGTGGGCTAATAGCACGACAGTATATGGTTTACAGTCCTCACTGAGATGACATCAGAGTTTCATCTTAGAGGATGAAAAGCGTTTGCCATCTGTGTGGAGCACCTGTTGTTTTTATCTGCTCAGTACCCAACATTCCTTGGGGAATGACCTTTGACCCACTCTCAGTCCCTCTGATTGCCTAGAGGATGGTCACATGACCCAAATCTGTCCGATCAGCATATTCCTTCTTCCTGGCCACAGTGATTGGATGGAGGATGAGCACATGACTAAAACTGGTCCAGTGAGAGGACATCTCAGACTCTCTCTGGAACCTTAAATAAAAAGGAGTTCTCTTTCTCCTGGTGTTGCTACAATGGATGGAGGTATATCAGAACAGTTGATCACCTTGCCCCTAGCAAGAATGACTATACTTAAGAATGAAGCCAACACAAAGGGAAATTGATCTAACAAAAACAAAAAGTCCTGATGGTATAATATGAGTCCCTGGATCCAGCCATATCTGAGGCCAGTAACACTAGATTCTTCAGTTATTTGAACAAATAGACATTTTTTTCTGCTTCAGCCACTTTATGTTTGATTTATGTCATTTCTAATTTTAAAAAGACTTGAATGATAAGATTGGGGGAAGGCAGAGAAAATGGGGTTTGCAAGGAGAAGCAGGAAAGAGGGTGGTGTATTCAGGGAACCACAAATAGTTTGATGTGCCTGAAGGGTAGGTTTCTGTAAAAAGAAATAGGAAATTAGTCTGGGAAGGTCAATGTGAACCTAAAGATCCCTGAGCCTTAAATGGAGGAGGCTAAACTTCCTCCAAGCAATAGAAAGTTCTACAACTTACTATTTTTACATTAAATGATTGGCAAAAGTTCTGGGTACCTCCACACTCAGTATTGTGCCCAGACTTTGGGGAGTACAAAAGAGATGGTTCCATCCCTCAGGTAGCTTATAATCTAGTTGGGGAAATACAAGGTAAAAGTGGGAAAACTATAACAGATAATGTAATATAGTGAATACTTATTGAACATTTATGACAGACGCTGCATTGTGTTTGCATAGATACTTTCCACTGATTCCACACATCTCTCTATGAAGTAAGTGCTATTATCATCGCCCCTATTTTATTGATGAGGAAACTATGGCTCAGAGAGTTTGCATTACTTGCCTATGATTGCATTTTGGAAATGCCAGAGCCAGAATTTGAACCCAAGCAGTTTGTGGAGTCCAAACCATTCTGCCAAGTGGTCCGTTGACTTATAGGTGGAATGAGAAAAGTAAACAGAAAAGGGAGTCCAAATGTCAAGCATTTACTCTATAGCCAGACTGTCTGTGGTTTTGCCCCTGGTTTCATCATGCAAGACAGCCCCTCAGAGGCACAGCTGTGGGTCACAGGTCTACATGGCAAACAGCACTTTTGTCCATCAGCGGGTGTCCTTGTGGGCTCAGGGGTGACCTGACCCTGCTGAGAAGTCAGACAAATGGGCTGCCTGTCCAGGGGAATGGGAAATTGAATGCAAGAGGAAGGAGAAGCAGGCAGCTGCCAGGAGCCCCGCCTCTTGCAACACTTCTCCCCACTCCCAGTCTTTCCTGGACGGCATCACTTTTTCCATGATTCTGTCTCCTGACTGGTACTGTGATCTTGACAGCCCACTCCAGTTCCCAATGAACAGGGCTCACACCATAGTGTTGCCTGCTGGCAGAAAGAGGGGGATTGCTTTACATTTTTGGAGATGGTAGAGGAGAGTAGATTCTGAAACCTATCCATTGCCTACCCACTACATTCCCTCATACTCTTAGAATGCACGTGCATGTGAATACACACACAGACGCATGCACACATTGCTCTCTGTTGATGTAAATTATGCCCATACTTCAAAGCCTCCTGAAATCTTACCTCTTGTGATAAGCCTTCTTGAGCACCCAAACTGGAATCCCTTTGTCTTAGAACTCTGTGAATCAGAATCACTTAGAGAAAGCAGGATAAAAGAGATTACATGACCTGAGTTCACAGGGCATATAAGTGTCAATGCTGCAACTAGATTCCAAGGTTCCTCATACCTTCCTCCAGACTATTTGTCTTCCATGAGACCCATAGCTCTAATTATTTGTATGACCCAGTGGACACCTTTCAACACCTTGAAATAACTTTAACCTCAAGGATGGCAAACAGTGTTCATCATATCAGTGTTGATTGATTGGTTGTGGCTGTCTGGAACATTGTGTTGAAAGGAATGCAGTGGGTTGGGGGCGGGGGTCATCATTGTGTTGAGAAGGATGCAGAGGGTCATCACTGTGTTGAGAAGGATGCAGAGAGCCGTGACTGATTATCGATGGCTGCCATGCGCAGAGAATGGAGACTGATGTCCCCCATGCCATGGATTTGCCATCTTTTCTTCCTTTCAGAAGTTTCTCCCAAATGTCCCTGGCAGAATTAGCTGCTCATTGACCTGGATTCCCATGCCACTGAGTAAACATGTCCTCTCAGGAGCCATTTATACTTGCCCAGAGCCTCAGTCAGTGCCTTGCCTGAACCAAAGCAGGTCCTCAAAGACTATCTGAATGTTGCACTGTTCATATATGTTCATTATAACTTCACAAGTGTATATCTTCTTTAACAACTAGATTGCAACTTTTCATGAGAGCCAGCATCATGCTGCACTGTATTTGATATTCTCCTACCATGCCTAGCATAGTGCTGAACACATACTTAATTTAATTTGCTATCAGTTGCTAAATGTTTACTACATACTACAGGCTATGACATGGACTTCCTATATATCACTATATTCGTCCCTCCCTATGCCCTACAAGGTTGTACAAAAGAAGACAATGAGGCCCAGGGAGGTTATCTGACTTGCCCAAGGTCACACAGCTAGTAAGCAGCAGAGCTAGGATTTAAATCTGGGTCTCCATGAACGCAATTTTGGCTAATTGATCATCATTACAACAAAAAATGGTGGTCAGTGGGGAGGTAATGAGAATACCCACGCTTAAAATCTAGAAACTGATGTGGGGCTCAATGTGTGTTTTATCTTATTAAATGTGGTGTTTCAGCTCAGAGCTTCCTCAGGTTTGTCAAAGTCTAAGCCAGGCTGCAGTGGCTGCTGTACCGTGAATATCCGCACTGCCCAGACAGGCCGGCTGGTCGGGCCGGCTGGTCCAGCCGACGTGACTCAGCACCTGGAAACATATGCTGCTTTAAATAGATCCTGCTCTCAGCTGGTTCTCAGGGCTGATCAATGACTTACCTGTCATTGGAAGGAATCTAGAGGGGTGTCCTGGGGTGTGCTGAGCTGCTGTGCTGGAGCAGAGCAGAAGGACATACGCACCAGAAGAGATGTAGTGGTGGCTGTGACCCTGCCAGAGTTAGAATGGCTGAGGAAGACACCAGAAGCAGGGGCTAGACAACCCCTTCATAGCCCCTGATACTGAGGGCCCAAGGTTCCTCATTTGTCCACACCTATCCTTTAATCTCACCTTTTGGAGTTAGGGACCATACTCCTGCAGTTTTGTGAAGTGAGCAGAAAACAAGGTGGACCAGGGTCAGGAGATCTGTGTTCAAATCCCAGCTTTACCACCTTAAGCTGTGCAACCTTGGGCAAGTCCTTCACTCTCCTGTCCTCTCATTCATCAAGCAGCACTCTCTAATTACAAATGCACAACAGGAGGCAGAAGACAACCTGATTGTTCTGAGTGGCGGATCAGTCCAATGACTTATGGTTCATCCAAACCAGGAAACGAAGGCTCCTCAGACCAGAGAGGCAATTGTCATGCAATGAAATAGAACCATCTCCAAGCAAGGTGTGGGACAATGACCTGCCTTCTGTGTGTTTTCAGTGGTGTCCTATTTAACATATATGCCAGTATGTTCATAGAATAACTCCAAAAGGATACACACACACACACAAACACACACAAACACACACGAATGGAGGATTCAAGACTTATTTTTTACACTATGGTGTTTTGTTTTGTTTGAATTCTCACTGTTGCATGCTTTCAAAACAATTTCTAAGGCAGTGACCGCAATCACACATGTGTTCAATTGAAAACAGGATGGGGCTATAGAAACATCACTAAACTGGGGCACAAAAAGTCCAGGTCTATTTCCAGTGACCACAAGTTGTGTGGGTTTTGGAAAACCCTCTAGGATCTCTGAGCTTTAGTTTCTGCTTTTTATTAAGAGGATTTATTCATGACCAGGAAGCGCCATATTTCTGTCCTCCTGGGTTGGTAGAAAACTTGGAAAACTTGGAAAGCACAATGGGACACCCATCTGTAAGGCACATATTAATACTGTGTTACACCTATAAAACAGAAGAGAGAGCCTACAACTAGATACACTTAGGTGACTTCCTCTGTTAAGGCATTTTTTCAAGTGCATTATAGCATTTTGTGTGACTTTTGAATCACATGAGTACTGGTTTGGAGCTCAGCAGAACTAGGTTGAAAGCCCAGCTCAATCACTGACTAGCTTGAATAAGTGACTTAAAATCCAAACTCTCATTTATTGGTAAAATTATGGTAGTAAAAATCCATAGGGATATTGTGAGAATTAAATGAAATAGCAATTGGAACATTTAGCATAAAGTTCTCACATAGTAGGTGCTCAATAAATAGTGGGCTTTTCTTTTAAACCTTCCTCACGGTCATCCCACAAGCCATTTTGCTTTTAGGACCTGGATGTCACATATGGAATGTTTAGAAACCCCCACCTCTGGAGGAAAATGAGTTTACTTTCTGTCTTAACAGAGGTTCTCTAGAAAATAGAGCCCAGGCAAAAGCATTCTGGACTGACACTGTATTGGGGAATGCAATCCCAGGGAAGTAAGAGTGAGGAAAAAAAGAGACAAAAGGAAGTGGATGATGGAGCTGGTCAGTTGCCTGGTATTGCAGATGTCTTCAGAGAAGCTGCATCTTTGAACCACCCATTTAGAGGCAGGAATATCCACGAGCTCTCATCTTCCATTGAGCTCTCCTCCAGCTCCCCTACACTTCTGGATTTCATATGAGTGGGGAGCAACTGGATTCTACAGTACTTCATGCCTTGGTGGAACAGGAAAACTCCAGGGCAGAGGGGAGAGGTATACAGCACCAGCATGAGGGTGGGTAATTCTGGGCCATTTCTATGAGTGATACAAGGGACTAGAGCAGCTGCCACAGCAGGATGGTGGCAACATTGTCTTTAAGACAATGAGAACACAAGCTGTTACTAGCTCACTCTGGCCAGAAAGTGAGGCACGTGCCTGGCTTCTGAAAAGTACACAAGCTGAGTGTGACACCTTCCATCCAGGTGAGAGCCCAGATTCACCTCTTAATGTTCCCAGTAGGATGTTAACCTGCCACCTGCTCATCTGGTACCTAAAGCCTATAGACCCACTCTCTACCACCCATCTCAGAGAACAAAGGAGGTCTTCTTAGCCCTGGGAGAGGGCTCTGTATCAGTTCTGTACAGTTTTATGCCTTTATTATGTTTAATTGATATATCATAATTGCACATATTTATGGGGTACAGTGTGATATTTTAGCTTGCAAGTTGAGTAAAATTTTTTTTAATTTTGAAAAGTGTGATATCTCAATACATGTATACAACGTGTAATGACCAAATCGGGGTAATCAGCATATTCATCACCTCAAACTTTTATCATTTCTTTGTGTTGGGCAACATTCAAGATTCTCTCTTTTAGTTATTTGAGAATATATAATAAATTGTTAATTATAGTAGTCCTCCACTCCCATTGAATGTCCTACTGAGGTCTATGACAGCCCCTGGAAATTCTCAGCTCTTTGCCGCAGAAGGCTACTAACTTGGACCTTGTTACCTCAGCCTCTTGCAGAGCTGTCCATCAGGAAAGGCATTTAAATGTGAGATCTTTGGCTTTTTATCAAAGAACGCGATGAAAAGCCACAGCCATGTCAAATCTGTTCTTGCATCTTTCCAGTTTTATTTGGGACGTTGAACCATAGTATTCAGTGTCCTCTATTTAAATTCATTTTATTTCATTCATTTGTCTATTCAGCAAATATGTATTGAGGGAATCAATAAGAAAAAGACAATCTAAGAGAAAGATGGCTGAAGGGTAATGAATAGAGAGTTCATAGAAAAGAAAACACACATGGCTCGTACGCATTTGAAAAGATGCTCAGTCTCACTCAAATAAGAGAAATGCAAAGTAAAACTACACTGAAATAGTATTTTCCCCATCAGGTGGGCAAAAATTGGAAAGGTTAATAATACTTTTTGCTGGCAAGGCTGTGGGGAACTGTGTATTCTCAGACATTACTGGTAGGAGTGTTCCTATGCAGTGTAATTTGACAATATCTATCAAAATTATGAATGCATATATTTTTTGACACAGCAATTCCTCTTCTGGGAATTTATCCTAAAGAAATGTTTGGACTTGCACAAAATGATGTAGATGCAGGGTTATTCACTGAAGAAGTGTAAGAGCTAGATACTGGGAACAACCTAGATGTCTTTGAATAGGTGATTAGTGTATCCAAACAATAGTATTCTATAGAGTTTTTTGCTTTTATTATGTTTAATTTAGATATCATAATTGTACATATTTATGGTGTAGAGTGTGATATTTTAGCTTGCAAGTAGGGTAAAAAAATTTTAATTTTAAAAAGTGTGGGCTCATGCCTGTAATCCCAGCACTTTGGGAGGCCAAGGCAGGTGGATCACCTCAGGTCAGGAGTTTGAGACCAGCCTGACCAACAAAGTGAAACCCTGTCTCTACCAAAAATACAAAATTAGCTGGGCGTGGTGGTGCATACCTGTAATCCCAGCTACTTTGGAGGCTGAGGCAGGAGAATTGTTTGAACCAGGGAGGCGGAGGTTGTGGTGAGTGAGATTACACCATTGTACTCCAGCCTGGGCAACAAGAGTGAAACTCCATCTCAAAAAAAAAAAGCGTGATGTGTGATGTCAATAATACATTACACATGTATACAATGTGTAATGACCAAATAGGGGTAATCAGCATATTCCTCACCTCAAACATTTATCATTTCTTTGTGTTGGGAACATTCAAAATCCTCTCTTTTAGTTATTTGAGACTATACAATAAATTGTTATTAATTATAGTCACCCCATATTTCTTCGCACTTATTTCTCCTATCTGGCAGTACTTTTGTGTCAGTTAACCAGCCTTTGACTCTCTACCCCATGTACCACTTTTTTAAAAGATAGGATGAGATTTACTGATTTAGAAAGATTTACATGACATATTAGCAAATAACAAGGCATAAAGGATATGGCATTCCCCCAGTAATGCTGCCTAATAAATCACTGCAAAAGTTTTTTAAAAAGTAATTGTTTATTCTCATGCTCATAGATCTGAGAGCTAGTTGGGGCTCTGCTGATAGCAACTAGATAGGAATTTTTCATAAGAGCTCATGAAAAGGCAGGGCTCAGCAGGGCGGCTCTTCTCTCAGCTGCAAGCTACAGGTGCTGTTTAGTCTGTTCCTCCCTTTTCATTCAAGGGCCAGGCTGAAGGGATAATAGTTAACCAGGGCATGCTCTTCTCACGAGGGATCATGGAGCTCAAGAGGGCAAGATCAATCACACAAAAACATTTCAAGACTCTCAACGTTATCAGCTAACATCCAATTGGCCAAAGCAAGTCACATGACCAAGCCCAAAGTCAAGGTGCAAAGAACACTCTACCTAGCATGAGCTCTGTTAAGGGTGTGCCTGTATAACACCATCAGAGAGTAAAGGATTAGGGCCAATAACTCAACAGTACTTAAACGGACACATATGTGTGTATTTAACAAGGTATGCATATGTATGTGTGTGTGTGTGTGTGTGTGTGTGTGTGTGTGTGTGTGTATATACATATATATATTCAATTTTACTTATCTTTGCATAAAGTTATCCTGGAATAAACTATAACAATGACCCCCTGGACTAGGTGACTGGGGAGAAGTGAGAACTAGATGAATAAAAGGTAAGGAGGAAGACATTCCACTGTATACCTTTTGATATTTTAAAAATCAGGTGAATAGTCTACCTGTGCCAAAAGAATTAATTAAAAAGACCCACTGAGGACCTACTAAGTGCCAGGCACTAGGCTAGGTGTTGGGGATAAAGTTGTCAATAAGCAGATCCAGTTACTACCTTGAGGGAGAAAACAATAAAGCAAAGTGCTTTTTCAACCCTGGCTGCCACCAGAACCACCTGGGAAGCTTTTAAAAAATACTGATGTCAGCTCCACTCCCAGAGATTCAGATGTAATTAGTTTGAAGCAGAACCGGGCATTGTTATTTTTAAAAGGTCCTGGGTGGTTTTAGTGTGAAGCCAAGGTTGAGAATAATTAGTTTAGTAAGAGGAGACAGATTTAAATAGATAATCACACAACTAGCTGACTGTACTTGTACTAAGCAAGCCAAAGGAAAAATATAGGGAGATATTTCTTATGGTACTAAGAAAAGTTTTGCTTTCCTTGGGTAATTAGATTCTTCCCTCTCTTTGTTATTGAAAAGTATAAAACTTGACATATCTCCCTTTTCACTTTGGCAGCCAGGAAACTCAGTGCCAAATTTGAAGCTCACGTGGAACAATTCCTAAAATCCATATTGCCTACACATGTGGTCTTTTCCTTGAACCGAATTTCTACCCTTACTTATTTTTTTCATTGAATATAAATCTCCAGTTCTATTTTGTCATTGGTTCATGGTTCATGGTTTGTGTTCTTATGTCTTCAATCTTTTATGGTGTAGAGGAATTAAATTATCAATAATACATAATAAGAATGCCTTCTGTTTATTTGCTTGGCACCTATTATACTACAGGCACTAAGGCAGATGCTTTAGATGTTTTATTTCCAGTTGTTTAAAAACACACACACACAGAAGAGGGTGTTCATTTTACAGATGATAAACTGAGGCTCAAAGAGTTTAAGAGTGTGTCTAGAATCACACAGCAGTAAGTGGACAGGCTGCTGAATTAATTTCCTACTTCTGCTATAACAAATTACCACAAACTTGGTGACTTAAGACAACACAGATGTATTATCTTACAGTTCTGACAGTCAGAAGCCAAATGGATTGTCAGCGCTGCACTCCTTCTGTGGGCTCTAGGGGAGAATCATTGCCACGTCTTTTCCAGCTTCTAGAGGACACCTACACACCTTGACTCATGGTGGCACATAACTCTGGCCTCTCTTGCCATTGTCACTTCTCCTGCTATGAACTCTGACCCTCCTGCCTCTCCTGTATAAAGATCATTGTAATCCATGATAATCTTCCCACCTCAAAACCTTTAACTTTATCGCATCTTCAAAGTCCCTTCTGCCACATAAGATAATATATTCACAGGTTCCAGAAATTAGGGCATAGACATCTTTGGAGGACCATTGTTCAGCCAATCATAACTAGGATTCAAACTTACATCTTTCTAACCCCCAGACCTTGCTCTTTTCACTATTCTTTGTTGCCTCTGAAAAATCTGGGACTTATTTCTGTGAAATCGTCAATCTTAGGGCCTTCCTGGGTCTAACAAGAGAAAGGAGCATACTTCTCTGCAGATCAGGCAAGAAACAGGAATAATACTTTATTTTTCACCAGAGAGAAATTTTCCCCATTTCCAGTTAGAGCTGGTAGGGCTAACTGCAAAGTAGGGCATCTGAGGATCAGCACCCATCACCCTCTGCAGTTAACCAGGTGGGGCTTCAGGAAGTGGCTCACCTGAGTTTTCTGCATTACTTGTTTCCTTATTTGTTGCCTCCCCTGTGTGTACCACAGTATCTCATAGCCCAGAAGAGCCCAGCACAGAACTGGCATTCCTTTGATGAATGCAAACTCCAAAATTGCCCTGATTGAATGGATAGGATTTGACGTGGGTACAAAATTTGAAACTTGGGGATTAATGAAGTGGGCTCTGCCCAGAATCCCTCACCTTTGGGAGGGGTTGACATGAAAGCTGAGGTCAGGGCCATAATGGAAAAGCAGGAGTGGAATCGTGTTTGTTTGTCTAGCTGGGGCCTTTCTGAGGACAGAGATTACATCTCTTGAACATTCCACGAGAAACAGTCTGAATCGATCGTGCTTAGACATCAATAACAATCCACCTATGAAAAATTATCCCACAAGGGCACAAAGATAGATGTACAAGGATATTCACTGCACTGTTTACAACAGCAAAAAAAAAAAAAAAAAAAAGAAAACTGGACACCACCCAAATGTACATCTAGAAGGGGTTGGGGAAATAAATGATCATACAGTCTCAATGATGGGAACCTGTACAGCTATTAAGAGAATGGGAGAGATGAGGAAAGAGGTTCAAGATATATTGCAAAATGAAAAAAGCAAGTCGCAAGGAAGTCTATAAAGCATGGCCCTATTTTCTTTAAAAATACATATTTATCAAAACTCATCAAATTCTGCACTTGGTGACCTGTGTATTTTTTACTTATATGAATTATATGTTAATAGAAAAATATATGTATACATTCTAGTTATTGATTTGAAGAAGCAAATTTTTTAAAATTATTTTTTGAAATTGAGACTTGCCTTCTCAAAAAAAAAAAAAAAAAGACTTGCCTGCTCATATAACGTAATATTTCTGTTTTGTTGAAAGGTTAAGTCAAAGAAGTGGTTTACCAATGATTGTGGTTTTGAACAGAAGACATACAAGAGATACGTATTAGCATATACATAGAAAATAAACACAGGAGATAAGTTTATGCATTGAAAAGATAAAAATACACACATTTTGAATTTAGGAGTGAGTAACAAGGTGAGGGTGGAAGATGCAGAAACTAAGTAATAAGTTTCTATAATTGAATTTTTTGTTACAGACACATATTACTAGTAATGAGAAACAAACAAAGGTTATGAAAAAATCCTTTCTATGAGCCATACCATTTGTGGGAAATAGTGAAAACGAATCTTACATTTAGAAAACTGAGGGGCATTTAATAATTTAGCAAGTCAGGAGAATTGGACCTCGTTTGTGTTTTGAAAATATAAAAGATTGGGATTTTCTGATTACAAAGGTCATATGTGCTTATTGTATAATTAAATACCTAAATAACATGAAAAGAAAGGCTTGAAACTTACCCCTAATACCACATCCTGTCCCCAAAGAGAGCAAATCTTAACACTGGGGTACACACCCTATCTTACAAAAGCAGCACTAATGTTTATTTACTGCTTTAAATTTAAATTTACTGATTTTGTCCTACAATATGTAAAGAGCATCTTTGCATGACAATATTATCATACACATCATCATTTTAATAACCCCTGTTATTAAACTATAGCCATACTATAATTGGTTAAAAATTTATGCTGCTTCCAATTTTTTGCCAATTTAAAGAGTGGTACAAACAAAATTCTCATACATATATTTTTATTTAAAAACCTTTTCTAAAAAATAGGAACAGGGTCTTCCTATGTTGCCTAGGCTGGTTCAAACTCCTGGGCTCAAGCAATCCTCCTGCATCAGCCTCCCAAAGTGCTGGGATTACAGGCATGAGCTACCATGCCCAGCCTCATACATATATTTTTAGGCATTTATCTGACTCTTATGCACAGTCTTAAGGCTTCTGATCCTTGTGACCACATTTTCTCTCCATAAAGGGAATAATAATTAGTATTAGCATATGTTGAGCATGGACTTCATGCCAGGCCTCACACTCCTTTACCTCTGAACAATACTATAAGGCTGGTATTTTTATTATCCTTCATTTTATAGACAGGTAAACTGAGGCTAAAAGAGGTGTGTAACCTTTCAACGTCACACAACTACAAACCAGCAGAACCAAGAACAAAAGACGGATCTGTCTGCTTCCAAAGGGCAAACTCACAATCATAGCACTGTACTGCCTGCTATGCATATGACTTCCAGGATAGTTCCATCATTTCATTATCCCACCAACATCGCATGATGAAGCCCACATCCTCACTTCACCTCCCTCGCCCAAGCTGAGCATGTGTGTGTGAATCATGTAGTGAGTATGCAGTTACAAGGAACAGAAAACTCAACAATGAGGTTAAATAATAAAGTGATTCATTGGCTCAAATAACCAAAAGTCCTAAGGAAGGCCAAGTGTCAAGGATGACTTGATTCAGCAGCTCACTGGTGAGACCAACGTTCAGGTTTTTTTCCTTTTCCCTGGCTTCTGTGGTGCTGGCTTCCTCTTCCATCTGTCTCTCCATGGTTTCAAGATGGTCCCCGACAACTCCCAAGGCTATGTGCTTTAATTCCCCAGGTCCATACAAGGGGAGAGAAGGCTGACTTTAGATGCCCTCTCAGAAGAATGAGAAAGTTTTCTCAGAACCCCTAGCTCCTCATTGGCCTAACTTGTCCATGTGCTCCCCCTGAACCCATAACTGTGGCCAGGGGTAGAATTATAACAATTAGTTTAGACCTAGATCCTGGAGTGAAAGTAGATTCAGCATCCTCCAAAAGCTAAATAGGAAAGACATGGAACGAAAGTTAAGGCATGTTTCAAGAGGGGAGTTGGATATTGGACATAGCAGCATCCTCTCTTACATACCACCCATCTCTTGGGCCTTACCATTGCAGTGCACCCTATTGGCCTCTCTACTCTCACTCATGTCAAGGAGAAGTATCAGGGAATTAATATACCTAAGGAGCAACCTTCAACCAATGATGATAGAGTAGGTGCATAAATACCCCAGCTCCCTCACTCCTTAGATGGAACAACTGAGGTGCATGTTCTACAGTGGCTCTCAGGTTTGCCCAGTGGGATTAAGCTCCAGTTGTCCTCAGTAGTAACTGGGTTGGTGACTCACCCTATTTGTCTCCCTTCTCTTACTTTCTCATGTCCCCACTCCCCTCCTAGTGTTTCCTGGGACCACATTCCCAATAAACCACTTACACTTGGATCTCTGACTTGGGGGTCTATTTCGTAGGAACCCAAACTAAGACAGTGAGACAACTACAAAGTCCACTGCATTATTACTCGTGGCCTTTGTCTAGTTTAGGCACATTCTACAAAGATAAAATTGCAGTGCTGTAAGGCTTATAATAGATGTTCATGCAGTGGCTCTCCCTGCTGATGAGAGAACCATATCTACCTCCAAGCTATCTCCTTCACCTTCAGTGTGAAGGAGAAAGGAGGCCCCCTTCGTTTGGAAACCACTTTGCATGCACAACTACCTCAACAGTGACCAGACAGGAATGCATTATTAAGCATCCCATAGAGATGCTTTCCTGCAGATACAGACATCTGGACTCCTTGGTGAGGTTCCTTCAAAAACAAAAAAAACAAAAACAAAAAGAGAGAACTCTAATTCAGCCCATGGTGAATCAGGGTTTTTAATATATCTCTTTCTGGGAGCATTTGCTATAAACAAACTATTAGTCTGGTTGAGAGATAAAAAATAAGCTCTTCTTTAAAGAAGGCAGACATTAATGTTTAAGCTCTCTTCTAAAAGATGTAATCTCTCCTTTCTCACCTGTTAATGGGATTTGTATGACAATAATTTATTTACTGATTTAATTAATTGCCATATAGCTTTGCATGGTTGGATACAGCACTGGCAAATGGCTGATTTCTATCAGGAAAAGATGTGTCAGTATCTTTATTTCAGGGACGAGTCATAAACCAGGCAGATTTCTACCTCAGAAATGACCCTTCTCAAAGGAGAAAACGCTGAATCTTTAAAATGGGATGTAATTCTGAGAGTCGGAGAGTAGAAAGGGAACTGAAAGATGATTGAGTTCAATTGCCTCCTTTTACAGATGAGAGCTGGGAAGGAAAAATGTCCTGTCTCTAAGATTACTCAGTTAATGCAAGCCCAGGGAAGCACCCCACACCCTGACTCCTGGTTCAGAGCTCATCCCACTACATTGTCTGCCCACATCCCAGAACACTGACGAAATCAACAAAATCTATTTCTGTTTCCAGTGGGCTGGGCTGGGGGCTGTTGGATCAAATGGATTGAAGGCAGAGGCAGGAAAAGTGCCCAGCCTAGAATGGCCTTGACAACACATCACTCTCTCTCTCCTGACTCTAGAAAAAGCTGAAATTCTTGAGATAATGCACAGAAGGTTACTCAGATGAGAGAATCATATGCAAATGCCTTTCAGCTTCCAGGTAGGCAACAAATGGGTGAAGGGATGGAGAGTGAACATAAAGAAGAACATGAGAGCATCCTCAAGGATCCCAGTGTTGCCAGATCATCTGATTTTTCAAGAGAGACCAAAAGTCCAAAGTATGATATGGCATGTTCCAGCTTTTAAATCTTGGGAATTGGCATAATTAAAAAAAAAAAATTAAGCCCCATACAAGGCAAACAAAACATGTCATCTCCCAAAATATCAGTTCGTAGCCTCTGGCACAGTGTGTCAACATCTGGTGGCACATCTGGTCATTCAGGCATGCATGTATTCATTTATTCAGGGTCAATGGCAGTGGTCCCTAAATCTTTCTACACATTAGGACCATCTAGGAAGCTTAAAAATCCCAATGCCAAAGTCCCACACCATAGCAATTATATAAGAATGTTCAAGAGTGGGAGCAGGCCAGGCATGGTGGCTCATACCTGTCATCCCAACACTTTGAGATGCCAAGGTGGGAGGATCACTTGAGGCCAGGAGTTCAAGACCAGCCCGAGCAATATAGTAAGGCCCCCATCTCTACAAAAAATTTAAAAATTAGCTAAGCATGGTGGCATGTGCCAGTAGTCCTAGCTACTCAGGAGGCTGAAGCAGGAGGATCCCTTGAGTCCATGAGTTTAAGGCTGCTGTGAGCTATGATTGCAACATTGCACTTCCACCTGGGCAAGAGAGTAAGGTGCTGTCTCAAAAAAAAACAGTGGGGGAGTGGGGTGGTGGTGGAAGCCAAACATTAGGATGTTTTAAACATTCCGCATGATTCCAATGTATAGCCATACACGTCTGGGAACTACGGATCTATAATGAGTCAGGCTGTGCATCAGGCACTAGAGACACAAGGATGACTGCACAGACATGTTCTCTGCCCTCATAGGACTTACAGCCCAGTGAGCAATTCATGCAGGCACCCAGATGTGGCAGAGGCTGCCAGCTGCCCCGCAAGTCTTTTCTCCCCATCTTCCAGGGCACACGCTGGACTGCATTTCCCAGCCTTCCTTGCAGTTAGATGGAGCCACCTGTCTCCATCAGAATGTGAGTTGAAGGCATGTGTGTCTCTTCCAGGTTGGCCCCCGAAATCCAGCTGCTTCTCTATGCTCTTTAACCTCTGCTGCAAGAAGGGGCTCCTGGCTGCCAGGCGTTGAGGATGGAAGAGCTGCTGTCAGTCCACGCTAATGGGTCCATGAATAACTGTAAGGACCACTTGTTCACTTGGAGCAGTCACCCTGGACTGTTTCACATAAAAGAAATAAACTTCTATATTCCTGATGCCTTCGGATCATTGTTGAGGTCTTGTTACAGCAGCCTAAGCCACAACTAAGAGATTACAATAGAGATAAGAACTATGACAGTGGTAGGGCAGGGTGCTATGGGGGCACAGACCCAGATCGAGGGAGATCAGAACAGACCTACTATTGATTCATTTACTCATTCATTCAACAAATATTGACCGAGCACTTGCTATGTGCCAGGCACTGTTCTAGATGCAATTAATTCAATCAGCAAATAAGTTATAGTCATAGAAATGTCATTAAAAGGCACTAGAGATACAGCACTGTCTTAGTCTGTTTAGGATGCCATAAGAGCTTTAAAAATAACAGAAATTTATTTCTTATAGTTCTGGAGGCTGGAAAGTCCAAGATCAAAGCACCAGCAGATTTGATGTCTGATGAGGACCCACTTCCTGGTTCATAAATGGCCGTCTTTTCACTGTGTCCTCACATGGTGGAAGGGCAAGGGGTCTCTCTTGGGCCTCTTTCATAAGAGCACTAATCCCACTCATGAGGGCTCCAGTCCATGACCTAACCACCTCCCAAAAGTCCCACTACCCTAACACCATAACCTTGAAGGTTAGAATTTCAACATAGGAATTTGGGGTGGGGAGTGGTATGGTAGGTGGGAGGAAGGAGAGGACACAAACCTGCAGACCATAGCAAGCAGTGGAAACAAGACAAAAATCCTTGCTCTTGTGGAGTTTAGGATTCTCAAAATATAAGGTGACATTTAAACTCAGACCTAAAGGATGAATAACATAGGCAGAAATTTGGGAAGGGGGCACAGACACAACCACTCCCAGAAAGTGGAAGAACACCTGCAATGGCTGGGAGGGTGGAAGAAGGTGGCATCCCAGGGACACTTCAAAGAATTGATCCTGGCTGGGACACAGAACGGGAGGCTGGGGAAAGAGATGGGGAGAGAGGTGAGACAGAGAGAGACTGAGACAGAGGCAGCTGACTGGCAGAAACAGAGACACAGAGAGCACGAGGCAGAGAAACTGCCGGAGACAGACCCAAGACAGACAGAGACAGAGAGCAGGGCCGAAAGACCTGGCAGAGAAGGAGACAGGTCTTGCAGAGCCACCTTCCTCTGATGCTACACCTGCACAGGTCTTTTTTTACACAAGAGACAGATGTTCGCATTTTACTTAAGCTGACTCTTTGGTTGGTGGAGAAGGTAAATATTTGCTCTCCTACAACTTCCAGCAATTTTTCCTATAAAAGAAGGGCATCGTTAATTAGCCTGAGAGCAGCCTTATGCTTGGCCCACCTGAGATCTCGGTGAGGTTTGTTCCCTCAACACCTAAGGCTTGGGTTGAGTGATGGAGGGCAGGGTGGGTATTTGGAGGTCTGGCTTCTACACCTTCCCTGACTCTGGGTGGTGGCTGTGGAGTCTGTACCTCTGCTTCTTCATTTGTCACATGAGCATGTACGTCCCTCCTCTGACATTCTGTTGCAGCACTTATCAAAGTGTGTGATCATGCATTTAATTGTGACATTGTTTAATGTATGTTTGCCACAGGAGAGCTTGAGAGCAGGTTGTGTTTGTCTTGTTGGTGGATGAACGCATAGTAGGTGTTCAAGAGCATTCATTTGCTAAAGGAAAAGAGGGAGGGATGAAAGAAGGTAAGAAGGAAAAAGGGAGGAAAAGGAGGAAAGAAAAAAGATGTGAAACACACGTAGTACTCTGACAAGGAAGAACAGGTTGCAAGGGGACTTAACCTCATCTGGATTCACTCTTTAAGAAGAGAAAACTGCAAGATGAGTCTGAAATGACCTTCCTGGATTTCCTCGGGGAAGCTCATAAACACTCCTGCCTCTTAAAGAGGCATCTACAGTTCCACAATCACAAACAGAGGAAGGAGAGAGACTGACATACAGAAATGACCACCACCAGGAAACCACAGAATTGGAAGCCACCTCCCCTGACCCTGTGGTGCACCCCACTGCTGGAGGATGGCCATTGCTGGAAGATGAGCTATGGGAATGGAGTGAGCAGTCAGACTCCCCACTCACTCCTCTCCCTCCTCCTTAGGGCAGAAGTCTGTGATTTTGCTCCTTTCTAGCTAAAACTGAAGATTTCCAAGCAGTTGAAGTCTTTGGATTTTCAAATGGTAAGATGAGCTGAATTCACACTGGGAACAAATGAGGAAGCAATAGCTCACCTGGCAAAAACAACCAGAGGGAAATCAGCTTACATGGATTTTAATGGCTCCATGAGTCCATGTCAATATACATAAATGTGAATAAAATGAATAAATGGAGGGTGGGAAGAAGAGAAGCTCTAAGCCAACTAAGAACTGCAAAAGGAATGATGGAGTTAGAAAACCCTCAAAGGATGCTAAAACCAATGAGTGAAAGTGTGATAAATAGCAATATATTTAGTAGTTTCAAAGTATCTCCCCACAAATCTCTTATTCATTACAAAGGGGGAAACTGTATCTTTACAGTGGAAAAATGTATTAACCATAAGTGATCAACTTCACCAGGAATAAGACAAACCAATAGCAGGTGCCTCCAGATAAAATGCACTGGGGAGAATTCAGATCATTTCTGCATCATCCCTGCCAAAAATGCACAACCTGAATCTAAACACACAGAAGCATCAGGAAAGCTCACACTGAAGGCCTGGAAGCGTCAAAGATGTCAAAGTCAAGAAACAAAGAAAGGCCAAGAACTGCTCCAGAGGAAATGTTAAGAAGACATGACAACTCAATACAATGCACAATCCTGGATTAGATCTTGGACAGAGAATAAAGAGAAGATTACTGGGACAGTTGAAACACTTTGAAAATAAGCTGTGGATTAGATGATAATGTTGGAGAGATGGTAAATTCCCTGCTTTTGAAAACTGAACTGTGGCAATGTAAGAGAATATCTTTTTTCCTGGGATACACATGCTTGAGATGTTTAGAGGTTAAAACAAAACGAAACAAAACTGAAAGAAGAATCCAAACATCAGAGCACAGAGTAAAGGCTGGTTTCTGGAGTCAGGGGAACTGTGTTCAAATCCCAGCCCTGTCTCCCCTGACTGTGCGACCTTGTCAACCCCCTTGACTCTCTGAGCCTCAGTTCCCTCATCTGTAGAATGGGGCTAATAGTGCCTTTCTTTATAGGACTCCTGCAAAGAGTTGATGAGATGACCCCCTGCAAGGCCTGAGAATAGTCTCTGGCACACACAAATTCTTGATAAATGTTACAAGCAGCTATAAATCTAAAAGTCCCAGAGCTGCGGAAATCCTCAGAGTTTTCCAGCCCAACTCCCCTCCGAAACATGGGTCTCCAGATAAATGCTGCCCATGAAAAGAAGCAGGATTTTAAATACCACGGAGTCAGAGTTGTGAGGGCTCTAGTCTCACTCTTTTGTTTTACAAATAGAAAACTGAAGCCTGGCCGGGTATGGTGGCTCACGCATGTAATCCTGGCACTTTGGGAGGCCAAGGCAGGTGGATCACTTGAGGTCAGGAGTTTGAGACCAGCCAGGCCAACATGGTGAAACCTTGTCTCTACTAAAAGTACAAAAATTAGCCAGGCATGGTAGCAGGTGCCTGTAATCCCAGCTACTCGGGAGGCTGGGGCATGAGAATTGCTTGAACCTGGGAGACAGAGGTTTCAGTGAGCCGAGATCGCACCACTGCAATCCAGCCTGGGCTACAGAGCAAGACTCTGTCTTGGAAAAAAAGAAAGAAAGAAAGAAAACTGAAGCCTGGAACAGTCAAGGTCAAGTGGCTTGCCAAGTTCAGTATGACTCACCAAAATTTTAATTAACGCCTACTATGTGCCAGGCCAGTGCTACACTGTGGGGGTTACAAAGATAATCAGGCTCAGAGCCTGAGGGTGAAAGCGTGTGTGTACACAATTATAAAGTGTTGATGGAGGCAAATCAGAAGAAAATCTTGCCCACATCACCCCATGAAATCTTAGCAGTCCCCAAACCTGTATTTTCAAAAATCCTATCTCCACATATTTGCCCAAAGCCTCCTCTTACTGGAACATCAAATCTTTTTCCATTTCTTGCCACAAATCTTGTCATGCTCTTACTTGACACCTTCAGTGACTCCCTATTGCCCTTGGGGGGAAAAAAAAACCCTAAACTCCTATTCAAGATGTACTTCATCCAGCCCAACTACTCAAAACAGTCCTGTAAGAAGACTGATGAGCCACAACATTTACCGAGCGCCTACCCTGTGCGATTCCCCATGAGGCTGCTGGGAGGATACAGAGAAGAGTTTGTTGGCTTTGTTTTTAGCAGCGTACACAGTAGCCAGGGAGCAGACATGCTTGCAGAGTGAGCAACACCAGACGGTGTGGAGCTGGGTTTCTCCAAGTGTAGTCTCTATGGAAAAACCCCTGCATCTCTCTGATGGGAAACAAATATTGCAGGTGGGATGCTTGATACCCAGTGGCACATCTAGAGTTGCTCCTGCAGCAAAGGTGATGTGGTTTGGTCTGCCTGTGGGAACCACAGTGAACAAATGCGGAGCCTGGAGTGTTCCACGCTGCGGTAGGCAGAATACTGCTGCTCCTCCCCACCCACCCCCAAGAGGTCTACGTCCTAATCCCCAGAACCTGTGACTATGTTACCTTACCCAGCCAAAGAGAACTTGCAAGATGGGATTTGTCAGATGTCAAGATGCAGAGATGATTCTCTATTATCTGGAGGGAACTTTAAGTGTAATCACAAGTGTCTGAATAAGACAGAGGCAGAGGGAGATTTGACTACAGAAGAGGAAGTAGGACACGGGATGGCAGAAGCAAGAGGTTGGAGGGATAGGATTGCATGGGGACAAGGAGCTGAGGAATATGTGCAGCCGCTAGAAGCTGGAAAAGGCAGGAAAGCAAATTCTCCTCCCCTAGAGCTTCCAGGAGGAACACAGCCCTGCCAACACCTTGATTTTAGCCCTTTGAGGCCCATTCTGGACTGCTGATCTTCACAGTCATAAGATGATAATGCATATGTATTAGTTCAAGCAACTAAGTTTGTAGTAATTTATTACAGCAGCCATAAGAAGCTAATACACAAGCCATGTGCCACCCCAAGCTCCTTTGGTCCTCACCATGCTGGGATGTCAGGTGCAGCATTTACCCAGCAATAAACCTGACTTTCTCCCCCAGCCCTGACAGCAGCCCCAGGATCCTCCACTATTTCTTGTTGGTTTCCCTGGACTGTATTCATTGTTTCGAAAACAGCCCTGAGTTAAATTCTCCTCAAATAACCCAGTCTGAGAATGCCAACTGTTTCCTGCTGGAACCTCAGCTCTCATCAATCTCACTGCCTAATGAAGTCCCAAAGCTCAACTCCTAAATATCTGCACATTCCAGAACAGTCTTGTCCCTACATTTCCTCATGTCTCAAAAGCTGATTTCCTCATGGCCGTCTCGGTGCCGTGGCTCCTGCTGCTGTGGATGCTTCTTCAGATACATGAACTTCGTATACAACATTTCCTCTCCAATTTCCCGGAAGAGTCTACCCACAGCAAGAATGCCTTAATAATGTTCTCTTTAACTGAATATTCCACAGGGGGCCCAAAGAAGAGACATCTATCATGGCAACATGAACAATGGCTGATGGACACTGTAAACATCACCAATCCCAAAATTTCTCCTGGGATCTCGCTTGGACTTTCAACTCTCCCAGGTGTCAACTAGAGAAAAAAATCAAGCTCTTAAAGAATTAAAGTTAGCTTTATTCAGAAGTCTTACTGAGGACTGTGGACTGAAGGAAGCCTATAGCCTGGGAACAGTCCTTTAGAGAGCTCTATCAGACTGCTCTGGTGCAGTATTTTAGCGCACTGCTTATATACAGGTGGTAGAGGTTTAGTACGTGCAAAATCACATCCAAGTTGGATGTAAGAGTACATCTGGTTATAGATTATAGAGGCACAATCGCTAACCCCATCAGATGATATCTTATGTGTAGGAAAAGGCAAGGACTAGGGTCACTTATCTTTTAAGGAATGTAGTGACTCAGGCAAAAGACATGGGGGGCCTGTGTGCTGTATCCTCTTTTGTCTTCAACACATGTTTCCAGAGAGATGGGTGTCATCACAGAGTCAGAGGCTTCTGACATTAGGCTGGCAAGCAGAAATGAGCAGACATGGCTTCTTACATTTGCTACTTTATCTCACACAGCTCTCTCTCTCCAACTTTCTGAGGCCTCTCTTCTCCTCCCATCTCTATCCCCTTCCACTGTCTTTGATGCTTTGGAGTGAGACCGGTGACATGGGGGTCGAAAGCTCACTCTCTCCCCAAACTCTCATTAAAGCGGTCTTCTAAACAAAGACAGCTCTATGTCTACAAGGAATTCTAGTGGGAGGGAAAGAACAAAAATGTTTTTACCCTCTATACAAAAGTAGTGTGAATTTGGAGTCTGGAGATTGATGGGTCACTAGACAAGATTAAGGAGCAATCCAAAATGAGAGAAGCTGAGATAAGAGAGCTGGAGGAAGTGAAAAGCCCCAGCCATATGGCAGCACAGGGGAGCCCAACAGGAAAGGCAATTGATGAGAAAATTCCTACGGTGGGAGAGGCTAAGGAAATGTACAGTGTTGACTATTCCATTTTAACTTGTTTTCTGTTTTGTTTTGAGCCATTGTCCAGCTCAGCCATTTTCAAGCCTTCAGTAAAAGCCTACTACACAGAAGTTGCCAGAACATCTGGGGATGTTCTGAGGCAGGGGGTGGGCAATGTTTAAAGTAAGATGAAGAGGAAACAACAGCTTCAGGAGGCAAGACACCATCCACCACATGGACCCATCTAGAATTCCACACGAGAAGTGACTGGGAGTGCAAAAGCCCTCTGAGATTCCCAGGTATATCCAAGAAGGCACTGGACATCCTACAATACATGAAATGGGAGCTTGGACCATTTTGATTCTGATTTTAAAAGGACAAGTGGAGGTGTGGAGGAACAGGAGACATCCCATATGGAGATGGCACTTTCAGACTTTGAACCTTAGCACTAATGGTCAAGGTCTCGAAAATCATGATGCAAAATGGAACTCCGCGCCTGAATTGCTGCTGAACTGTGGTGTTAATTACATGTCTGCAAGACATTGATAAGGCTAAAATTAGCCAACAATTTGATATGTTGACATTTGGCATCAGTAACTGAAGCTTCTATGAAAGACAGATTTGTAAGATGAGCTTCTGTTTCATGATGACACAGAGGCTTTCAGGAACCTCAAGAAATTCTGAAAGTTCAGCATTTTCTCTGCATCCACTTGGCTATGCATGGTGCTGAGAAAAGGTGCTGGCTTGCCCACTCCTTGAGGTGAAAGAGAGGAGGAAGAGAGAAGGGCAAAAGCTGTTAGACTAAGTTCCCAGGCTTAGTCACTGGAGTGTATTTTTCTGGTGATATTCATTAATATGCATACCCAGAACCAACACTTTTCAAAAAAGTGAAACAAAATAAAGCTCTCTGGCTAACTATAGAATTCATTATGCTGCTTAAATTGTTGCGGGAAATGCATGCCTAAGGTCTCCAAGCTGGGAAAACTTTTTATTATATGCCAGAAACTGAGCCAAGGGTTTAACTAAAATTAACTCATTTGATCCTCACAAATACCTTAGGTAGAAGGTACTATTATTATCTCCATTTTACGGATAGGGAAATCAAGGCTAAAAGAAGCAGTCAACTTAGCTGGTGTCTCGGTCAAAATCAAATCAAGAAATCCGAAACTGTTTCAAGTATTTACGACAGAGAGAATTTAATGCAGGGGATTGGTTACATGGGTAAGGAGGGAGCTGAGGCTATAAGGGAGGGTGAGGCCAGCCAGAGACTAGCAACAGCAGAAAGTGGTTACTACCCAAGGCTGGGGGGGGATGAAGGGAGAAGGTAGGATTCCTAGAGCCTTGGGGCCAGTGTCACCCAGTAGAAGCTGGAAACTTGGAAGAGTCAACAAACCTTCCAGAGGCAGAGAGGGAGGGGAAGAAATTCCTTGGTCTTTCCTTCCTTCTGCCTTCTCCTGTAATGCCATTGCCTCCCACTGGACAAACCCAGCAGGAAGCCAAGTGACAAAGAAGTGTGGAAGATGTGGGCTGTAGGGATGTGGCCCCTGTAATCAGAAAAGAACAGAGGACAGATAAATAAGGCCAAGACCAGGACGGCTGGTAAGTGCCTTAGCCAGAATTTGAACCCAGGTCTAATCCAAAAGCAAATAAACCACAGCTCCTTTCATGGAAGAATGTAACAGCCAACTCTAAATTTCTTCAAGGTGACACCTGTCATTCCATATGGAAATGGGGGAGGCCAGATGACCTTCTCAAATTCTGGGCATTGTTCCCTGTTAAGGGCAGGCATAAGGGCATGAGTTTCCACAGGCACGAGTTCCAACCCCAGCTCAGGTGACGGCTCCTCGTGTGATTTTAAGCAAATGACTTCACCTCCCTAAGCCTCAGTTTCCTCCACTGGAAAATGGAGGATAGAATTATACACTTCACAAAGTTGATCTAAAATTTAGAGAGCAGTTGAGTTCATGCAGGTGTTCAAAAAAAATAGACCTAATTCCTACCATTGCCATCAACAACATTATGTAACCTACAGATTTCTCATTTAACTCACAGAACTATCACTTCACTTACAAGCTGGGTGTCCTCTTGAGGAGGCAGGGTTGGCAGAGAAGAAATGTGAATTCCTCAATCACATCTTCAAAGCTATCCTGGGCATTCTCTCAGAGACCTCTTGGCTTTCAAGCAAACCTATCCAAGTTCATTAACAGTTACAAGCTGCTCCCTGGGAAGGAATACCTGGAGATCCTGCAAAGTCTGTTTATTCTGGCCTCTTCTCCTTCGTGCATGCATCTACCTCATACTGCGACCCTACTTTGCTTTCATTAGAAAATTATTCATTAGGGGAAAAAAGAGAGAAAACCAAATACCTAGGCAAACAAACCCAACTCCCAGGGCTTGCAGATCTGTTATGATGAGCCTTTGGTTTGGAAGGCAAAAGGGAAATGCAAGCCACAATTAGGATTATGAAATGTATGATATGGGCACAAGTTCAGCATGGAGTTGGCTGAACTGCTCTGCTGTGATGGGACGGGTTTAATTTGTTCAGCACAAAACCATCCGGTGAGTCATCTGCTCTTTTTGATTGAGCTGGAGGTAGTGCAGCTCCCCAAACAAAAAACACCACCACTCACCTTCCAGGGGACCCTTCCCGCCCCCTTCTACACCCATGCAGTGGTGATGGCAGAGAATAGAACCATCTAAATTCTGCTCAAAATGTGGTCTAGAAAGTGCTTACTCCCTTAGTGGGTTAAGTAGTACCCCCTGCAAAATGCATGTCCACCAGGAATTTCAGAATGTGACCTTATTTGGAAATAAGGTATCTGCAGATGTCATTAGTTAAGATGAGGACATACTGGATCAGGGTGGGCCATAAACCCAAAAATGTGTGTCCTTATAAGAAAAGGAAAGAGTGATGCACGCCTGTAGTCCCAGCTACTCGGGAGGCTGAGGTGGGAGGATCTCTTGGGCCTAGGAGGTTGAGGCTGCAGTGAGCTGAGATCACACAGCTGTACTCCAGCCTGGGTGACAGAGTGAGACCCTGTCTCTAAAAAAAAAAATTAATTAATTAACTAACTATAAAAGAAGAGGAATGAACACACAGAGATATACACAAGGAAGAAGGATACGTGATGATAAAGGCAGAGATTTGAGGCAAAGCTACGAGACTAGCAATGCCAAGGATTGCTGGGAACCAAAAGAAGCTGAAAGAAACCAGGAAGGACTTCTCCAAAGTCTCAGAGGGAGCACAGCCCTCACTGCTGCTCCATTTCAGACTTCAGAACTGTAAGAATACATTTCTGCTGTTTTAAGCCACCCAGTTTGTGGTAACTTATTAAAGCAGCCTCAGGAAAGTAAGACACTAATAACAATTTTGGTACTTAGCTCCTCACAGACCAGCAACAGTTTACGGACCAGCACCGGTCATGGACAACACTTTTAGTAGCTCTCTGTGTGGATTTAGGCCCAGTCTTTTTCCAGTTATTGGACTCGGTCCAGGGAAACTCTTCTTCACGTCCTTAACCCTGGGTCTATGCACCTTCCCCCAGTACTTAATGGTGATCCCTAAGGATAATGATGCAAACAGTGTTCATACCGTAATTGATTAGTGGTGGCTGCCTGGAGGAGGAGTCTATGGCTCAGAGGGGAAAAAAACTGCAGGATCAACTAGCCATGTCTGTCTGGGATTGAAATGGGAAGTCATGGCATGTCTATGCTATCCAAACAGTCCTCGAATATTCCAGATTCCCTTTGGGGAAGATCCATTTGGGAGCTATCATTCAAGAATACATCTAAAAATAATAATAATAATGATGGTGATAGACTCATAGAGTCTTACTATGTGTTGTTTTATATACATGAATTCATTCCACCTTGATAATAACCCTATAAGGTACATATTATTATCCCCATTTTACAAGTGGGGAAACTGAGGCTAAGTGAGCCATGGACTCAAGATTCCAACTCAAACAGTCTGGTCCACAGTCCTCAATCTCATCCACTATGTCTGTATATTCATCCCTTAGCATAATATCTATTAACAACTCACTTTATAAAGAAGTAGCTTTTGTTTGTTTTTTTTTTATTTTGTTTTTTTTTTTTTTGAGACAGGGTCTCATTCTGTCACCCAGGTAGGAGTGCAGTAGCACAATCTCGGCTCACTGCAACCTCCACCTCCCAGGCTCAAGCCATCCTTCCACCTCAGCCTCCTGAGTAGCTAGGATCTCAAGTGTGCACCACCATGCCCAGATAATTTTTGTATTTTTTGTAGAGACTCGGTCTCACTATATTGCCCAGGCTGGTCTTGAACTCCTGGGCTCAAGTGATCCTCCCATCTTGGCCTCCCAAAGTGCTGGGATTACAGGCATGAGCCACTGTGCCCGGCCAGAAGTACTTTTCTTTAAGTAGCCTAAATTTACATATGTTGAGCCTCAAGAGAGATTCCCCCACTATGTCCACCTATCCATGTCTGCCTGCCATTGGTTACCCTCAAATTGCAAGCCTTTCTGAAAGAGAGAGCCCCAGAGTGAGAAAAATAACAACAACAACAGTAGCTGACATATATTAAGCACCTAGTATGCGTCAGCCCTATTCTGACAGCTTTAAATCTTTAAGGCATTTAATATGCACAGTCCCATGAGGTGGTCACTGTTCTTATCCCAAGGGTCGTTAATTGCCCTTGGCTTTATGAAATAGCACATTTCTAGACAGCTGCAGTGCTCACACTCCGTGTCTCATTTCTCCATGTGTTCACCAAATATTTATGCAGCACTTACTATGTGCCAGGCCAATGCAAGATGCTGAAGAAGACAAAGTCCCAGCCTGAAGGAGCTTTTGGTCCAGTGAGGGGACAGTCAGAAGGCAAATAAGTACAACACAGTGAGACAAGATCCCCTGGACAAGGTGTCAGGTAAACAATGAAGAAGCTGCTAAACACTGGCTAAGCAATGGTTCTCAAACAGAGGTGGTTTTGTCCCTCAGGGACATTGGGCAATGTCTGGAGGCAGTTTCAGTTGTCACAACTGGTGGGGGTAGTGCCACTAGAATCTCGTGCATAGAGGTCAGGGGTAGTACACAACATCTTACAATGCCCAGGAAAGCTCCCACAACCAAGAAGTGTCCAAAACGTGGTAAGGTTGAGAAACCCCACTGTAAATGAGTCAAAGTCAAGACAAATTTGAGCTGGGCTTTTAAGGATGTGTAGGGGTTTAGAAGAGGGGGAAAAGCATTCCAGGCAGAGGGAACAGCCTATGCAAAGTCAAGAAGAAAGTAAAGGGCAAGGCACGTTTAGAGAACATGTCTCAGGATGTCCTCCCAGGGAACAATGGGAACAATGTTCTCTCAAATGGGAATCGTGTAGCATGAGTAATAAAGTAGGGTAGGAATAGATCCCAGTGGGTCCATGGAGCAGCCTAAATTTCATCCTCTAAGCAATGAGGAGCCACTTAAGGTATTTGAGCAGAGTGGACAATGAGCAGGTCAGAACTGAAGAAAGGCTTGGGGGGAGGTGGGGAAGACCAAGGTCAGGACACCATGAAGCCAGGCTGCTCCACACCATCTCTGTCCCAGCGTCTAGTGAACCCTAAATTCTGGGTGCCTAACTCTGGCAGGCTCAAGTGCAAAGTGTCATTCTCCATCCCAGGCTCTGCCAGGCACAGATTCAAAAAACAATTAGCCTCCGCTGACATGGCAGTAACGAAGGCATGTCCTCCCTCCGAAATCTTAACTCCAGCAGGCAAGAGCACAGCAGGTTTCCAAACCTCTGCCCTGGGGCATTTCTAGACATTTTTATCTGGAAGAGGCTTTTTTCTGCTAGGTTTAATGAGGGAGGTAAGAAGACTACCTAATTTGAGTTCTTAGAGGCTCACACACTCAAAATTAAGTTTCTAAGCTTCTCTCCCCAACATCTCTCCATGCCTTTTCCTTTTGTTTCTATTGACTTCCCTGCAAAGTGCTTTAGGGTCCCAGTGGAATTTACAAGCCTTACAGCTTCCCAGAGTTTAACCTCCCAGTGAATCCGGCCATTGGCCATTTTTGCTGTCAGCCAGGATAATCGATACTAAGCTCTTAAATTGTGTTTCTTCCTTGGGCGATTTTCCCGAGGCTGTTATCTCTGCTCTGTGACACCCAGGACTGCAAATGGCAGTCAGAGAAGAGTTTCGGTTTGGGAGCTTGTGTCAGAGGTGTTCGAACCAGAGTGACTCCATCTTGAATAGGGGCTGGGTAAAATAAGGTTGAGACCTACTAAGCTGCACTCCCAGGAGGTTAGGCATTCTGAGTCACAGGATGAGATAGGAGGTCAACACAAGATACAGGTCACGAAGTCCTTGCTGATAAAACAGCATACAGTAAAGAAGCCAGCTAAAACCACCAAAACCAAGATGGTGACGAAAGGGACTTCTGGTTGTCCTCACTGTTCATTATACACTAATTATAATGGATTAGCATACTAAGAGACACTCCCACCAGTGTCATGACAGTTTACAGATGCCATGGCAAAGTCAGAAAGATACCCTATATGGTCTAAAAAGGAGAGGAACCCTCAGTTCTGGGAATTCCTCACCCTTTTCCCAGAAAACTCACGAATAATCCACCCCTTGTTTAGCATATGATCAAGAAATAAATATCCTGAGTCCAGCAGCCCAAGCTGCTGCTCTGCCTATGGAGTAGCCATTCTTTACTCCTTTACTTTCTTAATAAACTTGCTTTCGCTTTATGGACTCACCCTTAATTCTTTCTTAAGCAAGATCCAAGAACCCTCTCTTGGGGTCTGGATTAGGACCCCTTTCTGGTAACACTTGGACTGATATTCGCCATGTACAGTCACACGTCACGTAATGATGGGAATATGTTCTGAGAAATGTGCTCTCAGGCAATTTGGTCATTGTGTGAACATCATAGAGTGTATTCACACAAACCTAGAGGTATAGCTGACTACACACTTAGGTTATAGGGTAGAGCCTATTGCTTTTAGGCTATAAACCTGCACAGCATGTTATTGTCCTGAACACTGTAGGCAATTGTAACACAATGGTAAGCATTTGTGTATCTAAACATATCTAAGCATAGCAAAGGTACACTAAAAATATGGTAGTACAATCTTATGGGACCACCATCATATATGAGGTCCATCTTTGACCAAAACATCATTATGCAGCTCATGACTGTACTTGGGCAAGTGACTTCCCCCTTTGGACCTCGTTTTTTTCATCTGTATAATGAGAATAATAAGATATCTAATTCAAAGAGCTGTGTAGAGGCCACAGATGTAAATTCCTTAGTACAGTGGTTGGCACTTAATAAACATTCAATAGATTAACATAGTAATAATACTATTGTTACCAGAGCCACCTAAAGCTGCATGACCTTTTACACTCTCCTATTCTTTGCTAGAAATTATGAAACCACATGAGGAAAAGGTAGAAGGAAAGGAAAAGTCATCCAGATCCTTCTCTGCATCTGCCATGCCCACTCTGTGCTGGGTTCTTGTTTGCACATCCGCTTGTCTTTAATCCTCACTTGGCAGCCTCAGAGAAGTGCTGCTTCTATCTTCCTTTAAGAAAGAATTTCCTTCCATTGCAAGGAGAACCTTCGGGATCTGCTGCAGCATTTGAACCAAGACACCTTCTCTTCAGGTAGCCCCAGTCAATGACTGGGCATGGCAGGGGTACTAAGGCCTCGTCACTTCTGACCAATTCGAGGCTTCTTCATTGGGCTGTCTTTTGATGGGAGCTCCCTGTTGGGTGGGCCAACACTTCAAGCCTGCATCACAAGCTGAAGGCTTCCCCTGCACACTCCTGCTTCAACCCCTTTATCTTTCACAGGCATTAACCCCCAGTAAGCCTCTTGCACCCCTAACTATGTGTCTGCTTCCAAGAAGGCCTAACACACCTCACAACCAACTCTTAATGCTGTATGTGTGTGTGATGCTGGTGTATGTGTGTGCAGATATGTGCGTGCCAGTATGGGTGTATATGCACAGGAATGTGTGTGGGTATTTGTGTGAAAGTATTTGTTCAGATGTGTGTATATGCAGGTATGTGTGCAGGTGTGTGTGTACGGGTGTGTGTGCAAATCTGTGCAGGTGTGTTTGGAGCTTGTTTCCTTGTCTGTAGCACAGGCTCATGCTTGAAACTTGCAGAGCATGAGGTTCTTATCTCAAACATGAGACACATGAGTGCCAGGGGAGGTGACCCAGAGCCTAGCACAGTGCCCAGCTCATTACAGGAGCAGCTTGATGCATATTTGTGAAATGAATGACTAAATTGATAACTGTAATGCAATATTCAAATCAGACAGTGGTCTGCATCTTACAGAAGAGAAAAACATTCCCAAAGTCCAATTACCTTTTAATCCTCTTAATGACAGCAATAGCCAACATCTACTGAGGGTTTTGATGGTTACAGTTACACACTCTAGATCCACCTTCAAGGAAGAGCAAACTATGTCAACTGCAGAGCCACCTTACCCAAAGCCACACACCTCCCAGGGTGGCCCATACTCAACAAATGCTGAGTATACAGGCCTGACCATATTGAACCAACTCAGGACACCTCTCGAGGGCCATTCTAGCTCCAGGGCTCTGTGGGGTCAGCTGAAGCAATGACTGGACCCTCACTGCAGCTCAATGTTTCCCACTACCTTATTCTGCTCCCTTCCTCTCCTTCCCACTAGGGTGGATCCCAAGAGCTCTCTTTATTAAACATCCTGCACGTTCATCTCCCCACAAAGCCATTTCTTGGGGAACCTAGCGTGCGTTAATGAGGGTGCCCAGAGCATTCACATGTATGGACTCATCAAATTCTCACTACAACCCCAGAAAGTAGGAATTATTAATCCCATGTTACGGGTAAGAAATACAAGGCCCAAAAGATCACATGGCTAGCAAATGGAGAGCGGGGATGCCAGCCCAAGTGTGTTGGACTTCAAAGCCTGAGATTCTAAATCTTTGGAAATGAGCGTGTTCATCCTCCACCTCCAAACTGAGTCTCTAAAGTGAGTCCAGCTCTCAGAAGTAGCCAAGGTAATAGAGAGTGGCCTGACACCCCAGAACCCAGCTTTTCCCTTGGGCATCATTCTGAGAAGCCTCCACAGGACCCACCACGAACCAAGGACACCAGTCAGAGAACACTGAAGTTCATGCCTCCAGAAACGCTTGTTTGCGATTAGATCATCAGAAAGGTCATTTTGAAAGAAGTCATTGCTGAGCTGATAATGAGTTTAAAAGGATGTTTAATCAAACATAGTTATCTGATCGAAGCTGGAACTTGAGAAATGAGCCCGAGGCTTCCCAGCCCACTGAAAGCCTGTCAAAAGAATCAAGAAAACACACAAATTATGTAGCTTCTTTATGGATTTTTTGGGGAGGTGGGGCATCTCACTGGGCAAGAGAAAGGGAGAGAAAAATGTACAAGGACTGAACCAATTTGATTGAAATATTTGCTGTCTTTGGGACCAAAAAAGAAAAACAAAACACCTGTCTCCATAATTAAATGTCATTTTTGTAGACGATTTAATTAGAAAGTCATCAAGGGAAAAATCCCCCAAATGGGTTTGACATAATACTAGTATCTGAAACTGCTAAATTAGAAGTGAGAGGAAGGACGAGATGGCACAAACTGCACAGGCCAGGAAAAAACCCAGGAGGCTGTTGAGGGCCTCTTTAACAGAGCAGATTGGAATAAAGGAAATTAAGAAAGCTTCTTCTGATTTGCCATTTGTTACAAAGTCTCCCAAAGGCATTCACAGGTGATTAAGCTTTTAGAAGACAGGCATTTCCTCTAAATTTAATAGAAATAGAGAGCTGGACATTTATTGAGGCTCAAAAGCTGCATAATAGGTCATATATTTTGTGGACTGGCATTTATTAGCATGCATTGAAGGATGTATAAAATGATTGTCACTTCTGGACTGCCTAACATACCACATATTGAATCTTCACAAAAACAGAGAATGGAAACTTATACGTGTATTCATTGACTTATTCTTCTCTCCCTCTTTCTCTTTCTCTCTCCTCTCTCTCTTTCTCCCACTCTCTCTCTTTCTCTGATCCACACACACACACACACACCATCAAATGAAATGAACTATAGAACTTAGAACGTCCCACCTGTCATACTGTAAAACACTTCATTCTCCTCCTATCCACAATATTTAGCATCTCAAAACACAGCCAACTCTAACACAGAGCTCCTAGAGAGGATCCCTCTGGAACACGGCTCAGCTCTTTTCTTATAGGAAATTGCAGAGAATTTCATAGCAATGCAATGTCCCCCTTTCTGTTCAGCCAGTCACCAGGGAGGCTGTAGCAGCCTACAAGAGCTGGTAAATTACAGAGATCTGAGCCCCAGTGTGCCCTATAAGCCAGCCCTGGAACAATGGCCAGGGCTGGCCTCATTTCCTGGGATGTTCTTTGCTCTGTGGCATCAGAAGCCCTTTCAATGGCTCTTGTTTCCTTCTTCAGTGGCATGGGGATGGAAATGGCCAGAGCCTGCTTCCAATGACGTTGGTTAACTGACCGTCTCGGCCAGGTATTTTCACGGGTTGTAGATGAGAAAGTTAAAACCCCATGTCACCACTTGGGGGTCTCCAAAAGCAAGCACTGAATGGAGTTTGGGGTGCAAAATGTTTCCTAGGGATCAACACTTATAAAAGAACCAAGGAGGAAGCAGGATTGGGCGGAGAGAGATGCTGGATGCGCTGGCCTTGCACAGCCTCAGCCAACCCCATGAGAAGCTCTGCAGCAAATACAGTCCCTGGAGGTTTTCCAGCATTGGGCTGACATGGCCAAGCCTTTATATCATACCCCTACCTGGTTCAAATGCAGACACTGACTTCCCAGAGAAAGGCATGACCTTGGGCAAGCTGGCTTTCTGCAGCTGAGGCTACCCCTGATGGGGCTAACAGCTGGAGACCATCAGTTGGCTGCACTCCCTGCAGCTGGACAGCAAGTCTAATGGTGCATCTCCGTGTTGACCTCAACCAGTGCATTGGTCTGCTCAGGCTGCAGGATCACCCTACCACAGACTGGGTGGCTTACGCAACAGAAATGCACTGTCTCACAGTCGGAAGCTAGAAGTCCAAGACCAAGGTGTCGGCCAGGTTGCTTCCTTCTGAGAGCTGTAAGGGAAGGATCTGTTCCATCTGGTGGTTGCCAGAAATCACTGGCATTCCTTGGTTTCTGCTGTATCACCCCAATCTCTGCCTTCATGTTCACATGGTGTTCTGTGTGTGTGTGTATGTGTGTGTGTGTGTGTACGTGTCCAGTTTTCCCCCTTTTTATAAGGACAGCAGTCATATTGGATTAGGGGCCCATCATACTCCAGCTATAACCTTACTGGAATGAATTATATCTGCAACGCTATTTCCAAATAAGGTCACACTCTGAGGTATTAGGGGTTAGGACTTGAGCCTATGAATTTGGCAGGGTTGGGGGAATAATTCAACATATAACACACAGAAAGGCTAAATAACATGTCCATGTCCATGCAGGATGTGAGTAGCAGAATCACAATGGAAAGCAAGGCCCTTTGGCTTTTTAGCCAGTGGTATGGGTAAAACTGCAGCTAACTGGATTACGAGTTATGTATCAAGCTTAGCAGTTCACCTTCCTCCACTCTATTAAAGCAACTAGTCAATATTTAGGACTTTAGTGGATTCCTCTTGTTACCCAGTGTAATGGCTATGTGACATAGTTGAATTTCTACCCTGTCCTAACTCTGCTTATCTTTAAGAAACAAGACACCTGCGATAAAAAAAAAAATTCCCTTTGTATGCCGAGTGCAGCGGCTCATGCCTGTAATCCTAGCACTTTGGGAGGCCAAGGCAGGTGGATTGCTTGAGCCCAGGAGTTCAAGACCAGCCTGTGCAACATGGTGAAACCCTGTCTCTACAAAAAAATGCAAAAATTAGCCAGGCTTGATGACACACTTACCTGTAGACTCAGCGAGGGGACTGAGATAGGAGGATTTCAGTCTCCTAGCTGGGTCAACAGGTGTGTGCCACCAAATAGGAGGGAAACCGAACCTGGGAGGTCAAGGCTGCAGTGAGCCATGATTGTGTCACCACACTCCAGCCTGGGTGACAGAGCAAAACCCTATCTCAAAAAAAAAAAAAAGTTCCCTTTGTAATCAGACCAACTAAGACTGGTTAGAACCAAAATTGCTGACCAAATGACTTCAAAAAGATCTCAGGCTCCATTATCATCTCATTTCCATGCTAAGTGACACTTTTGTGTTCCCAAGCCACTCCCGCTAGCACCATGACAGTTGACAATCACTATGACAATGACCAGAAGAAGCCATAAAAAGACAAAAAGGAAGGCAGCGCTCTGGTTCTGGGAAGTTCCCTGCCCATTCCCAGAAAAGACATGAATATTTCTCCCCTTGCTTCTAGTATCCCAAACTTTCATTAGAGAAATGGTATATTTTAACCCCCTCACCCCTCCCCTGTTAAGAAGTTGGTTTGTGAGCCATGCTCCTGCTTCTCAATTCCATAGCCATCCAATAAAGTCACCACTGCTTGACATGCTCTTTCAGTTTTGTGTATTTGTTTTGTTTGGTGTATGACACCAAACAAGGAAAGACCCCATCTTTTGGGGGACTGGCTTTGTCAGTAACACTCTGCCACCTCCAAGGTGGGTGGTAAATTCTTTTAAGGTTAAATACCGGGAACAGTCTAATACTTAATAACCACCTAGAAGGCATTGATTCTTAAGTCTTTATAGTTCTGAGAACATTTTGGTTTCCTATTGAAAGCTATGACAGCCAGAAAAATGCTTATATAAACACACACAAAACATTTTTGCATGCAAGTTGAGGGCGTTCATTTGATGCCTGTCCATGATTATAAGGGTTATGGTCCTCCTGCCAAAGGATGAATTGGAAAAAAAAATAGAAGCTTAAAAGCCATTTCAAGATGCTATGAAAACATGAAAGAGAAATTAAAGCTGGGATCTGCCAACTTTGCCCCACAAAATTGGGGCAGGGTCCTCCCCCAGTCTAGTGGCTTGAGAACACAAAAGGAAACTGGTGATAAATTGCCATGCTTCCATGATTTGCCACTTTCCCACCTTTTGTTCCCAGCATAGAAGGAAAATTGTGTACCTAGAATAGACTAAAAATCCACACACAGCACCCACCCTTGAAAGGATCTTACTTGCATTTGAAGGAAAACCCACATCAAGCTTTCCCCCTTGAACATGAGTATGAAGGAGAAAACTGGTGCCTTTCTGGAGTAATTTGGTTTTCCTCTTCTTCAGTAGGTCTACTTTACATATTCATGGGTTTTTATATACTGGACTATTGGGCTGAGGTCTGGCTTCAAGACAAGCTATTGTAGGGGAAGAAATCGTCATCCCAGGAGAAAAGATAGTGGTTTCTAAATCAGTGAAGACATTCTTTGGTTGTGAACAAAAGAACCCTGCTCAAACTGGCTTAAGTGAAATAGACACTGTGTGGTTTCATTTAAGTTACTAATGTGGTCTTCAGGCAAGGTTTAACCTAGGAACACAAACTATATAATCAAGATTCTTTTCTTTCTAATCCCTAGACTGACTTCACTACTTGATTTTATTCTTTGACTCCATGCAATGCTCCCAGTATTTTCAGGGTTCTATCCCTCCAAGTTTAAGTTTTAACTTAAGTTTAAGTTTCTTTCCATGGGAAAGAAACACCTATCATTTTCTCAGTAGTTTCAGCAAAAGTCTCATGGTAGTGGTCATGTTAGAAAATGCCTATATATATATATGTGTGTGGGGGGGGGGGGTCTGTGTGTGTGTGTGTGTGTGTGTGTGTGTGTGTCTGTGTCTGTGTGTGTATGTATGTGTGTGTGTGTATGTATATATATATATATTTTTTTTTTTTTTTTTGAGGCAGAGTCTTGCTCTGTCGCCCAGGCCGGAGGGCAGTGATGCAATCTCAGCTCACTGCAGCTTCCACCTCTCAGGTTCCAGCAATTCTCCTGCCTCAGCCTCCCAGGTCGCTGAGATTACAGGCATGTGCCACCTGTAATCCCAGCACGTGGGATTGATAAAACACAACACCTCTTCGATATGTCTCTTTGATATTAAAATTGTCTAATTTGATACTAGGGTCTAAAATTCTGCTCAGGGAGCCAAGAGTGAAGATAATAGGTGAACGCTGATTTCTTTCTAGATTTGTCACCTTACCTGAGAAAGCCTTAGTTCCCATTTCTTTTTTATTTTATTTATTTATTTATTTATTTGTTTATTTATTGGAGATGGAGTCTGGCTCTGTCGCCCCAGCTTCAGTGCAGTGGCGCAGTCTCGGCTCACTGCAACCTCTGCCTCCCGGGTGCAAGTGATTCTCCTGCCTCAGCCTCCCAAGTAGCTGGGATTACAGGCATGCACCACCACGCCCATCTAATTTTTGTATTTTTAGTAGAGACAGGGTTTCACCATGTTGGCCAGTCTGGTCTCGAACTCCTGACCTCAGGTGATCCGCCTGCCTCAGCCTCCCAAAGTGCTAGGATTACAGGCGTGAGCCACTGCACCCAGCCAGAAAAATGCCTTTATATTTTAGAGATGCAAACTAAAATACTTTGAGATAAAATGGCAAATATCTGGGTTTGCTTTAAAAATCTTAGGAATAAGAGAAACAAGGGGGAAAAATGAAGTAAGTATGGCCAAACTTTTATAATTATTGAATCTGGGTGATGGGTATTTGGGGGTTCCCTGTAGTATTATTTCTGCTTTTTGTTGGTTTACAAATTTTCATAATAAAGGTATATTTCAAGAATCATTAGAGAGGGGTGAATACAGTGTTCACTATTTGGGTGCTGGGTACACTCAAAGCCCAGACTTCACCACCAGATAATATATGCATGTAAGAAATCGCACCTTCATGCCTATAATCCCAGCACTTTGGGAGGCTGAGGCGGACAGATCACCTGAGGTCAGGAGTTCAAGACCAGCCTGGCCAACATGGCAAAACCCTGTCTCTACTAAAAACACAAAAATTAGCTAGGTGTGGTGGCACACACCTGTAATCCCAGCTACTCAGGAGCCCGAGGCAGGAGAACCACTTGAACCAGGGAGGTGGAGGTTGCAGTGAGTCAAGACTGTGCCACTGCATTTCAGCCTGGGAAACAGAGTAAGACTCCATCCCCCACTCCCCAGTACACCCCCCACCCCCCCGAAAAAAAAGGCTGGGTGCGGTGGCTCACGCCTGCAATCCCAGCACTTTGGGAGGCCAAGGCGGGTGGATCACGAGGTCAGGAGATCGAGACCATCCTGGCTTACACGGTGAAACCCTGCCTGTACTAAATACACAACAAATTAGCCGGGCGTGGTGGCGGGTGCCTGTAGTCCCAGCTACTCGTGAGGCTGAGGCAGGAGAATGGCGTGAACCCGGGAGGCAGAGGTTGCAGTGAGCCGAGATCGCATCACCGCACTCCAGCCTGGGCAACAGAGCAAGACTCCGTCTCAAAAACAACAACAACAACAACAACAACAACAACAACAACAACAACAAAAACTACACTCATCTTCCCTAAATATATAAAAATTTTAAAATAATTTTAAAGTCATCACATGGCAGGTAGCTCCGATCTGATCACGGGTCTCTCCCTGAACCAATCACCGTGGCCAGAAGAACACCAACCTCTGATTGGTCACACTAAATTTGTTTCCCACTCCTGAGTAGAGGACAGAGCAGATGTCACCTGAAGCACCCCCAAGCGGCTAATCGAGGAGATGTTACTAGAGCAAAGATGAAAAGATGCAAGGAGCAAAACAACTGGTGTCTACCACGATTCACACTGTCTCAACCAACAATGGCTCAGGCTCCAAGAAAGCTGATGGGGGCCTTTTTCCCACTTGGCATCACAAACGCTCCTTTCCTTTCTCCCCTCTTCCCCTCTTCTCCACCACTTTCTCAAGAAGTCAGGGAAGTGGTACAATGAGGTCGTGGGGAAAGTGCCCCCTCAAAAGCAGAAGATGCATTTATTCATTAAAACGTGTTTTTTTTTTTTTTTTTTTTTTTTTTTTTCTGAGACAAAGTCTTGCTCTGTCACCTAGGCTGGAGTGCAGTGGCACGATCTCAGCTCACTGCAACCTCCGCCTCTCAGGTTCAAGCAATTCTCCCGCCTCAGCCTCCCAAGTAGCTGGGATTACAGGCGTATGCCACCATGCCCGGCTAATTTTTGTATTTTTAGTAGAGACGGGGTTTCACCATGTTGGCCAGGCTGGTCTCAAACTCCTGACCTCAGGTGATCTTCCCACATTGGCCTCCCAAAGTGCCGGGATTACAGGCATGAGCCAATTTTTTTTTTTAGGCAGAGTCTCGCTCTGTCACCAGGCTGGAGTGCGGTGGCACAATCTTGGCTCACTGCAACCTCCACCTCCCAGGTTCAGACGATTCTCCTGCCTCAGCCTCCCTAGTAGCTGGGACTACAGGCGTGTGTCACCACGCCTGGCTAATTTTTGTATTTTTAGTAGAGACAGGGTTTCACCATATTGTCCAGGCTGGTCTTGAACTCCTGAGCTCAAGTGATCCACCCAGCTCAGCCTCCCAAAGTGCTAGGATTACAGGCGTGAGCCACCGTGCTCAGCCTCATCAAAACATATGTACTGCTTACTTGCTATGTGCCAGGCACTGTGCTAGGCACTGAGAACACAGTGATGAACAACAATAACCTGGTTGGTGACTATAAACCTATAAATAAGCATTTGATATCGCTGAGCCTGTTTCCTCATCTGTAAAGCAGAAATAGCAGTATATATACAGTTGACTCTTGAACAACATGGGTTTGAACTGTGCAGGTTCATTTATGCATGACTTTTTTTCAATAAATATATTGGAAAAATTTTTTGGAGATCTGCAACCATTTGAATAAACTTGAAGATAAACTGCCAAAAAATATTAAAAAAATATTGGCCAGCCACAGTGGCTCATGCCTGTAAGTCCAGCACTTTCAGAGGTTGGGGCAGGAAGATTGCTTGAGTTCAGAAGTTCAAAAGCAGCCTGGGCAACATAGTGAGACCCTGTCTTTACCAAACAAAAAAATTATTTTTAATTAGCCAGGCATGGTGTCATGTGCCTGTGGTCCCAGCTCCTCAGGAGGCTGAGGCAGGAGGATCACTTGAGCCGGCGAGGATGAGGCTTCAGTGAGCCACGATTGCACCACTGCACAGCCTGGATGACAGAGCTAGATAGATCCTGTCTCCAAAAAAAAAAAAAAAAAAAATCAAAAAAATTTAAGAAAAAGTTAAGTATGTCATAATTGCATAAAATATACATAGATACTTGAGTATTTTATCATTTGTTACCATAAAATATACACAAATCCATTACACAAATTTAGAACTTACTAAAACTTCTGCACACAAATACTTACAATGCATACATGGCACAACTGGCAGTTGAGAGATATGTAAATATGCAATATTAAACCATAACTGCATAACATTAACTGTCGTCCATACTGTACTACTGTAATAATTTTGTAGCCACCTTCTATTGCTATTTCAGTGAGCTCAAGTGTTGAGAGTATCCACCTAAAACGCCATGTGACAATAATCATCTCCAAGTGAACAGTATATCTCTCCAGTAAATTGTGTATCATAGTAAAAAGTGATCTCTAGCGGTTCTCGTGGATTTTTCATCATGTTTGGTGCAATACCATAAACCTTGAATAACTCCATGGGACCCATACAAAATGCCATTAGTGATGTTGGAAGTGCTCCCAAGAAGCAGAGAAAGGTCATGGCATTACAAGAAAAAGTCGAGTTGCAGGATATGTATCTTGGATTGAGGTCTGCAGCTGCAGTTGCCCACCGTTTCAGACAGATGATTCATCTTGTAAACAGACTATGTAAACTTACAGTATAGATCAATACAGTATAGTACTAGAAATGTATTTTCTCTTCCTTATGGTTTTCTTAATTACATTTTCTTTTCTCTAGCTTACTTTATTGTAAGACTACAGTATACAATACATATCATATACAAAATATGTGTCAGCTGACTATTTATGTTATCGGTAAGGCTTCCAGTCAACAGTAGGCTATTAGTAGTTAAGTTTTGGGGGAACCAAAAGTTATATACACATTTTTGACTGTACAGGGGGAGGGAGTTGTCAGTTCCCCTAATCCCTACACTGCTCAAGGGCCAACTGTATATACATACCAACATCATCAGACAAGATCAGAGAAATGAGATAGATGAACAATTTCGGCAAATTGTAAAGTTATTATTTTTCCTCTGTCTCCCCCTTTTCCCTACTGATCCTCATAGTTCTTCTCTTAGTGTCTAATAAGTGTGTCTCCTTGACACTGATATCAGTTAAGGTTCAATTTAGCAGCATATTAACAGGACCAAAATAATACTCAAACAAAATAGAGCTTATTTTACTTCTTGTATAAAATGAGTCCAGAGGTGGAGAGTACCAGGCTGCTATGGCAGCCCCACAAAGTCACCAGCAACCCAGGCTGTTTCTAGCCTTCTTCTCTGCCAACTTTAACATGTGGCTTTCATCTTCAAGATTGCTTCATGGTGACAACATAGCTGCTGCAGCCCCAACCACAACATCTACATTTCAGGAAGGAAGAACTGAAGAAAAGGAAATGGCCAAAGGGTTCCTATCTCCCATTTGGCCCAGCCTCCCTTAAAGAAATTTCCTGGAAGCACCAACAATACTTCTACTTACATTTCACTGGCCACTCATGTCCACAAGTGAAGTTGGAAAATACAATTTTCAGCTGAGTATATTGATGCCCACCAACAACATAGGAGTCCATTACTGATGAAGAAGTAGACTGAATATGGAGTTTAGGCAACTAGTAGAGTATTCTACAACATTCCTTAGAATGTACAGATGAAATCATATCTTTTACATTATTAAACCACCTACTTATAAAGCCTTTTGACAACCAGAATTCTTTACTCCTGAATAAGAATTTGTATTTGGCCCATGCCCATTTAGTCTCATGCCTACCTACAGAACCTGATCAGGACACCATCTCTGAAGAGCTATGCATTCTTTCCCAAAGGAAACAATTCCAATAACCAATTCTCATGTGATCTCTGAGGCATGATGGGAGGTAGGAGAGCTAGCCATAAAAATCCAAGCCTAATGAGCAAAAGCTCTCCCAATCAACCTTCAATCCATTTCCAGGGCGAAGAGTCTTCTCCTCTGTAAATGAGGAGGAGTGGGGATGGAAAATTTCTCTGCCTCTTTCAGCCCTGACATTCTATTCACCTTTATAAAGTCCATTCATCAAATTACCATAGGTGCAGACAGATTTATCTCAAAAGAGTTTGGGGAAAGGGAGATTCACTCCTACTTTTAAAATCCATTTCTATTCTACTTAATAAGAGGTTTTTTTCTTTTGTTAATGGAACTTGGAAATGCATGAAAATTGGAGACATAAACTTCTGGATAAGAAGTATTAAAAGCTCCACTTGCCAGCTGCCTTATCATTTTCTTTTCATTGGGTCATATGTAACTTGGGATTACAACATCTAATGTGGCCATATCTCAAATGCAATTACCATTGCTACAGTAGGTTCCAATAAGTATGCACTACTGAGATTAGCAGCTCTTGCCATTGAGTTGAAATATCTAAGGAAGGTAGATCACCACCAAAAAAAAAAAAAAATCCATTTTCTAATCTTACTGCTCTATAATACTGTAGGCTACTTTAATTTTTTAATAAAGGGATATTATTTTGCTTATAATTGTCAGCCCAACAAATTTAAAATATTTAACTATAACAAGTACATTAATGTTTTCTAATAGATTCCTTGGAGTCTGATATATTCACAATCTGGCCCTCCATCTGTTTGCTTCCCTGAAATATTGCTATCCTGAGTAAATGCTGTTGTATATTTTTCTGCTGATCAATTTAAAGTTTAACATTCTTCCTTTTCCAAGGCTCAGATCCTTTCAGATCATTTCTTGTGACCTAAGCTAGGCATATTTGGAGATTCACCAACTCCTTCAGGTCCCTGAAATTCCAGGAAGGGCAATGGAGGAGTAATTTTCATGGCGGCTAATGTCAAGAGTAGATGTCTAGTTCATATCCACACCCCTGGAAGAGCTTATCCTACTATTTAGAGCTTTGTTTTTAGCTGAAATTTATTGAACACTTGCCGTGTGCCAGAAACTATGCTAGGTAGCTTACATGCATCATTTCATTTAACCCTCTCAACAATACTGAAGTGTGGATACCATTATTATAACTATTTGTCAGATGGATGAGAAACCAAAGTTTAAAGAGGCTAAGTCATTTGGTCAAGTCATAATTAGTAAATGGAGGAGCAAAGGTTTAAATCCAGGTCTTTCTGACTCCATAACCCAAGCTCTACACACTGTGATAGACTGAAACATTGCTCCAATTCTTCATCCTTTCCTGTAACCATGCCCTTTGCCATGTAACTTTGAGTTCCTCCCACAAAAGACCAAGTGTACTTCCCTACCTCTTGACTTCAGGCTCAACCATGTGCTCTGACTTGCTCAATATGATACCTGCATATGTGACACAAGCATAGGATTGGAATATGCTTGCACAGTTGGGCTTGCCTTCTTTAAATTTTGCCAGTACCAAGAAAAGAACATGCCTTGTATGGCCTACTAGTCCCAGGAAAAGGATAAGAGACAAATGAAAGAGAATCACTCCAGCCAACCTGCAAACTTATGAGCAAGAACCAAACATTTGTTGCACGTCACTGAGATTTAGAGGTGGTTTGTTACACAGCAATAGCTAACTGACACAAACACCATAATTTACTGTCTCCTGGTTATCATAAATCTTCATTAAAACTGGAAGGAAAATCTTGTTCTTTTAATTTAGCAAGAGCTACCAATATTTACAGAACAAAGAAACAATATGGCCACCAACATGTGGAAAACATCATCTGCCTGCCACAATCTGATAGCCTAAGATGTATTGGTTGGCCCCCATGTCATCTATCATTATGTTCAGATGCCTAGCTTGATTACCTCACATGAAAATATTCAGTCTGACATTGAACTTTGCAGGATTTAATCAGTTCCTCCTGAAATCTCCAAAGACACACATACACATGCATGGATGCATGAGCACACGTGCATGTGCACATACCACACACACACAAGGGTCTCACTGCCAATCATGGGGAGGAGACAGTTGTCAATCTCAAACTTCAATCTGCTTCTCTGCCATAACAAAGAGATTCAGAAAACAACCTGAGTGCAGAATGAGCCTGAAATATGTTGTGGGGACAGAAATTCTGACTTGTCTTTTTCTTCACATTATTTTGGTGCAATGGGGAGAAGGAAGAAAAGAAAAAAACTATAGGCTCGAAGTTAAACTGACTCAGAAAAGAAAGCAAGTGATATGTGAGGAGGAAGACTAATGAATAAAGATAGAAAAACAAGGTGGTGGTGAGATGCAGCATATACAAAGTTCTGCAGCAGTATCTAATATGGCTTCTATCAGTATGACAAGATGGGCAATCCCTTAATCAAACGTAAGAACACAGATTGGTCAACTTCTCCCATCTTCTCTGTTATAACCTCTTACCCCATAGTCAAAATGTATTAGTCAACTGCCCTAATTTATTGCATGCCATTCTTGTATGCCTATCCCAAAGAGGCTGTTAGTCATTTAGTCATTCCACAAACCTTTATTGAATGTCTACTACATGCTGGAGCTATGATGATAAGCAAGATAGATATGGTCCCTGCCCTCATGGAGTGTTCAATCTACTGGGGAAGACCATTAGACAAGCTCTTACATACAGCACAATGCACGCTATTATTGGGGAATAAATGGTGCTCTCAAAATGTCATTTGGGAACAGCCTTCAAGTAATGACCATGGGGAATTGGTGCATAAATATCCCAGCTCCCTCACCTCTCAGATGGGATAACTGAGGTATGCGTTCTACATTGACTCAGAGTTTCCTTGCAGGATTAATCTCTGGTGGATGGTTTGATAATGGGTCCTTTATTGAATGCCTTCTCATTCCTGTCTGACTTCCCCATTTCTCTACCAGTGTCAGATCTCAAGATATATATTTAGGAGATAATCCTAAGAAACACTGGAGGATATAGAGCAAGGTTTCTTAACCTCAGCACTATTGGCATATGAAGATGATAATTTTTTGTTTTAGGGGAATGCCCTGTGTATTGTAGGATATTTAGCAGCTTTCTTCTACCCACCATATGCCAGTAGCACCCCTCCATTTGTGACAACAAAAAATGGCATTGCCAAATGACCTCTGGGAGGTGAAAACCACTTGACAGAGCATTACAAATTTATTACCATCTCCAAGATGAAGCCTTACCAACATTAAGGTGGAATCATAAATTCTGTGAGAAGAAAGAAACCAAAGATCTTTAGAAGATTCTTATTTCAAGGACAGCAAACACATGGCACAGATCTGAATATCAGCTGGCTTGTGCCCATGGCAAACATCACCAATCAATTCCTGCTCTCCTTCCTTCTAAGCCTGAAGAGGCTGCCATCTTCCTCTATGCAGGGCTACAGGCAGCCATTACCAATGGATTGAAGTTGGAATGAGAGAATCACATGTTGCTTTCTTTGCCACCCCTGCATTGAATTACAATGTTAGAGAAGAGTCTCCACCTTCTTTCTGCCCCAACATGGCCAGTAGACGATCTACTCCCCTCAGCAACGCGCAGTGGCAATAGTTCTCAACTGAAGGAAAGGGCCCACACTCCCCCATGGAAGGGTCAGAATCCTCCTGGGGAGAAAGAGTGTGTATGCATGTGTAATGAAACACTCCTCATCACAAGTAATTTTGACAGCTCTGATTTGCACCCCACACCCACCCCCATCCCCCATTTGGGAATCATTGTTATAGACTTTAGACATAATTCCCTGGGAAGAAAATTTTTCTTTCCCTCTCTACATTTGTCCTTTAAGAAAATATGAAAATGTTACTTATTCATGGAGCCCTTGATGTATTCCATTTGCTTTCATAATCCAAATATGGATTTAAATATGTTTTTAACTTAATGCAACCTGAGTCATAATGGTTTGGTTTGAATAGGTCAACATATACTGCTGGCTAATTGAAGGCAGATCTTTCTCAAGCCCTGGGCTAGAATAAATTTATTTCTCAAGTCATTCCTTCCTTGGGAAAGCTAAGAACTGCACTAGCCAGCACAGTTAGTAGGAAAAATAAATTCCCCCTTACCCTTACCTGTGTGGATAGCAAAGGGGAAAGGGTTCAATTTGATAGTGAGAATCTAAGCTGGTGCTGAATTATGTAGAACGAACGTTGCCTGGAGAAGAGAAAAACAGCCATGCTTCAAAGCAGGGTCAAAATGCTTTCTAAATGGGTAGCAGTACTACATGTCTATTAAAGTGACTATCAACAACAACACAATGACAAGACTTAGCGAGGACATGAAGCATCTAGAACCCTCATCTATTGCTGGGGGAAATACAAATGGTACACCCACCATGGAAAACAGTTTGGCAATTTGTGATAAAGTTAAACATATGTTTACCATGCAAACCTGCAATCCTATTCATTGGTATTACCCAAAAAAAAAAAAAAATGAAAACCTATATTCACACAAAACCAGTACACAAATGTTTGTAACTGCTTTATTTACAGTTACCCCAAACTGGAAACAACCAAAATGTTCCTCCACCAGAGAATGAATAAACAAACCACAATGGAATACTACTGATCAATAAAAAGGAATGAGCTACTAATATACACAAAAACATTGATGTATCTCAAATGCATTATGCAAAATGAAAGAAGCCAGATTCAAAGGGATATATTACATATATATTATATATAACACAGAAAGTATATATAATTAAAAGTAATGGCAAAAACCGTAATTACTTTTGCACCAACCTAATGTATATTACAATATTTCATGTGTATGACATTCTGGAAAAGGCAAAACTATAGGAATGAAGAACAGATCAACGGTTGCCAGAGGTTGAGGGTAGGAGAATAGGCAGCATGAGAGAATTTGGGATGGGGGTGGTGGTTCTGTATCTTGATTGAGGTAGTGGTTACGTCACTATGCATTCGTCAAAACTCATAGAACTGTGTACTGTAAAGAGTGAATTTTACTATCTATAAATTTAGAAATAAATAAAAACTAAACAAATTGAGATTAGCCCTTCAATTGATTATACCATCCACAAATCCAAAATATCTTAAAATACTTCTGTGAGCCTCATCTGGAAAATGGGGCTATGTTATAGGCCGTTATAAGAATTAAATGGGACGAAGAACACAAAGTGCCTTCCAACATAGTAAGTCCACAGCGATTGATGTTTGCTATTATTCATTTAATCAACTCTTACTCCAGGCAAAGCTCCAAGAATTAGAGTTACTTGCTTGTCTTGTCCACTAGGCCATAGACTTCTACAGGACAGGGAATATGCCCAATGTGTACCTGTGCTCACCAGAGTGTCCAGTGCCATGCTTAGCACAGGAAAAAATAATAAATTTTCATCAAATTGAACTGTTATGGGAAAAGACCACTAATTGTCCCCCAACATCTTTCCTCCCCTATTCAATAATAATCCAAAGTTTTAGCTGGAAACATGGCTGCCTAGCCAGAGACTACATTTCCCAGCCTCCACTTAGGTGTGGGCATGTGACTTGGTGTGGCCAATGAGACACGGGTGAAAGTGAGATGTGCCCTTCCAACTTGTGCCTTTAACAGAACGTTTGTGTTGTTGGCTAGAGAGCCAGAACTAGAGCCAATGCCTTGAACCCAGAGACAGAAGCGATACGTGAAGATAGCAGAGGCATCCATCCTCCTGTATCTAGAGACTATTACATGAGAAAGAAATGAATTTGTATCTTTCTGAATGCCACTGTTAAAGCAGGCAAACCAGGACTCTAACTCATACAAATGGATGCTCACTGAACATACTGTTCTGCTCCTTCATTCAGTCATTCAGTAATATTTAGTGAGTACCCCATCGTCAGAGGCATTCAAACCAGAGTGACTCCATCTTGTGTAGAGGCTGGGTAACATAAGGCTGAGACCTACTGGGCTGCATTCCCAGGAGGTTAGGCATTCTAAGTCACAAGATGAGATAGGAGGTCAACACAAGATACAGGTCATAAAGACCTTGCTGATAAAACTGCACGCGGTAAGGGAGGCGGCCAAAACCTACCAAAACCAAGATGGCAACAAAAGTAACCTCCGGTCATCCTCACTGCTCATTATACACTAATTATAATGTATTAGCATGCTAAGAAACACTCCCACCAGTGCCATAACAGTTTACAAATGCCATGGCAATATCAGGAAATTATCCTATACAGTCTAAAAATGGGAGGAACCCTCAGTTCTGAGAATTGCCCACCCCTTTCCTGGAAAACGCATGAATAATCCACCCCTTGTTTAGCATATAATTAAGAAATAACCACAAAAATGGGTAACCAGCAGCCCTCAGGACTATTCTTTTATTCCATTACTTTCTTAGTAAACTTGCTTTCACTTTACTGTATGGGCTTACTCTGAATTCTTTCTTGGGAAAGATCCAAGAACCCTCTCTTGGGGTCCGGATTGGGACCCCTTTCCGGTAACATCATGACAGCTGCTCTGGAATGCCAAGGGGTATATGACTGGTCCCTGCCCACTGTGAGCTCACCATGTAGTTGGGAAGAGAAAAATCTACAGCCAAGAAAAGTTTAATCATTACATACAAATTAAAGTCTTCACATAATGCAAATAATATCCTAAGACCTTCATTGATTCAACTATTATTTGGTTACCTTCTAATGCTAGGCACCATTGTAGATGCTAGGAATATTATAAAGAAGAAAACAGTGAGAGTCCCGGCTCTTATGGTGCTTACATTTGAGTGGAGAGGGGTAGAGGAAAAGGCAATACATAAATAAGCAAACAAATCAATAAGAAGTTATCAAGCAGCAGTAAGTACCTTGAGGAAAATATAACAATGTGATAGGACAGAGAGAAGGTCTGGGGGTTATATGGAGTGGTTTCAGGGAGGGCTTCTCAAGGAAGTGGCATTTCAGTAGAGAGCTAATGATGAGAAGGAGCTAGGCAAGTGAATACCTGGAGAAAGGGTGCTCTAGGTAGAGGGAAGAGCTGGTTCAAAGGTACTAAGGCAGGAGCAAACCTCATATGCTTGAAATTCAGAAAGAAGATTCATGTGGTAAAAGCATATGGAGAGATGGAAAAATGATGTTAATATAAATATTCATTAAATAGTACAAACGCTAAGAATTGTAAGGAGAAATCGGTGTAGATTAGATATATCAGAGAAGGCTTCCTGGAGGAGGTGGAACTTAAATTGGATGGAGATGCAGGAAAAGGATTTGGATCAGCAGAGAAGAAAAGGGAAGTAATTTTAGAAAAAGAGAAAGAAACATGAGCAAAGTATAGAAGCAAAAATAGACCGGCTATACTTTAAATGAATATGTGGATGGTTGATATGCAGCATGCATTCCATTACTAGCCTTTCCTTGTGGCAGACATTGCTAATCAACCATAGTACTTTTCCTGCAGAGCCTGAGTGTGGCCTTAAATCCTCAACCGTCACTCCATCGATTCCAATCAATCCAAGTGCCCTATGAGACAAAACCTATGAGTCTGCCCTGAATTAATTTAAAGGCTCTCTTTACTGCCCAGGAAAGACGGAAAGAGAAAATCCTATACTTGAAAATAACATAATTGGGCTTTTATACTTTCTCACAAGCAACTCAATCAAATGCCTCTTATTCAGCAATATGCAAATAATATAGCTATCCCCCTTCAGCCCTGCACAACCCAGAGACGTAGACCCAAAACGCAAACAAGGCTTTGCCTCTTCTGTTCTCCCATAGGCACACTAACGCTGATGACTGTGCAAGCTGGTTCTGCTTGATTAGAGCGAGGCCTGGCTCCTGCACGCACCCTGAGTCCTTCACAGTAACCTGTATGTCTTCTGACATCTTCCTGTGTGCATCAGCTCCTCGCCTCATGAATCACATCCTAAACCATTTTCTTTGACATTTAAAGCCCTGCCTCAAGATGCACTGCTGTGACTAGATGATCCACCTTCCAGATACAGGCACCCTCCTAAAGGATGGCTGTTCCCAGGGGTCTGCAATATCTAGGAGGCTGCTCGTGCCCTCTCCAGCCTTCTGAACCCACGGGATAGACACATTGGGACAGAATCTTAACGACATTTTCTGAGCACTTATTAGAGACCAGAACATGTGCCACACACTTCATGTACCAACCACCTATAGGCCTCATGTTATCCCATGAGGGGGTACCCTCCTATTACACCCATTTTACAGGTGGGGAAACTGAGGCACACCGTGAGATTAGGCAACTTGGCCATGGTCGCCTAATAAATGTCAGAATCTGAACCCACGTCTCAGCCACTGAAGCCAGCTGCCTGGTCTCATGAATTCAATTCTCTCATTTCTCATCCAAGCCTCCTTCCCCTCCTGTAACAATAACTAATTCGAAACAAAGAACAAAACTGATTTTAGCTCAGACCTCACTTACACCATCCCTTGAGTCCTTTCAAATTGGGTGCCTCTCCCCTTTAATTTATTCAAGGAACAAATATTTATTGAACATCCACCATATGCCAGACACTGCCAGCTGGTGGGACTCTTTTCTGACTTTGTACCAAGAAATTATCTTACTCTGGCAAAAGCATGAGTCTCAAAACAGCCACACAGCTCCATTGTTTATTGTTAGGCTGCTTTTTTTTTTCCTGCAAATCTTGTGTAATCTCTCTCAATACAAATATTTTCCAAAAATATGGACTGAACCAAGCTTGGCTTGATGGTCGGGAAAAAGATTGTAAAAAAGAAATATGCTCTCTTTTCTACACACTGTTGATTTTACTACAAATCCTTTCAGCTACTTGGTTTTTGAAAATAACATTGAACTAGAGGGACACAGATCAACATGAATGAGTCTCGACCTTGATGTTGAGTGAAAAAAGCTAGTTGCAGAAGGATAAGTATACTTTATTATTTAAATAAAGAAATGTGCAAGACAATACAATAGGCTATATGCAGTAGGTTATATATATACAAATACATGTCAGGCATGGTGGCTTATGCCTATAATCCCAGCACTTTGAGAGGCCAAGGCATGAGGATCCCTTGAACCCAGGAGTTCGAGACCAGCCTGGGCAACATGGTGAGACCCTTTCTCTACAAAAAAATAAAAGAAGAAGAAGAAGAAGAAGAAGAAGAAGAAGAAGAAGAAGAAGAAGAAGGAGAAGAAGAAGAAGAAGAAGAAGAAGAGGAAGAGGAAGAGGAAGAGGAAGAGGAAGACAAAGACGACGAAGAAGAAAGAAGAAGAAAGAAGAAGAAGAAGAAGAAGAAGAAGAAGAAGAAGAAGAGGAAGAAGAAGAAGAAGAAGAGGAAGAAGAAGAAGAAGAAGAAGAAAAAAAAGTGAGCTGGGTGTGGTGGCACACAGTCCCAGCTACTCAGGAGGCTGAGATGGGAGGATCACATGAGCCCAGGAGTTTGAGGCTGCCATGAGCCATGATCACACCACTGCACTCCAGTCTGGGCAACAGAGTGAGACCCTGTCTCAAAAACAAAACAAAACAAACAAACAAAATATATATACACATACACACACACACACATACACACACACACACACAAGTAGGGGACAAATGAGCACCAAATTCATAATGCAGGCTACCTCTGGTCGGGGCATGAGGGACATGTGATTGGGGACAGGGCTGTGATTGCTTCAGTAGCATCTTAGTTCTTAAACTGGATGGTGAGTACATGGGTGTTCATTATGTTATTCTTTACACCTTTTTGTATGTCTTAATATTTTGTATATTTAAAATAACAATTTAAAAATAGACATCTGGATAATTTATGCGGTTTCTATTAGATTGAAACATAAGAAATTGCCAACGTTGGACCATTTTTTGACCTACAAAGGGACAGTTTCCTATGTTCATAACAGAATCTAGATCTATAACACATCAATTCATCCAAATCAACCTTTCTAATAAATCTTACTTATGAATAATGAAGAATAGAAAATGTTGGTCTGGGTGGATTACGTGCGTGCCTGCGTGCGTGCATGCGTGTGTGTGTTTTCTTTAACTCCAATTAAATACAGCATTCAGATGACAGAACCAAAATTAACCTAAGAACTAAAATGTACAGAGGCCGGGCATGGTGGCTCACCCCTGAAATCCCAGTACTTTGGGAGGCTGAGGAGGGCAGATCACCTGAGGTCAGGAGTTTGAGACCAACCTGACCAACATGGAGAAACCCCATCTCTACTAAAAATACAAAATTAGCCAGGTATGGAGGTGCATGCCTGTAATCCCAGCTACTCTGGAGGCTGAGGCAGGAGAATTGCTTGAACCCGGGAGGCAGAGGTTGTAGTGAGCTGAGATCGCACCATTGCACTCCAGCCTGGGCAACAAGAACAAAACTCTGTCTCAAAAAAAGAAAAAAATTGTACAGAGAACAAGGAACGAGGAAAGAGAGATTGCAGCAAAAAGTGGACAGATGCAGCATTCTCCCCAGCAAGCAGTATGGGTTATCACTCCTCCTACCTGCACTGGATAACAGAGCCCGCCCAATGAGATGCCCAGAAGAGCAGTCATTTGTCATTGGTTAACAACCTGAAGTCCAGTGAAGCAAATTCGTGGCCATTGCAACCACAAGGAAAGGAAAGCTTTATTAGAAATATAAAACACACCACTCGTTTCTGAAGTGCTTGAGTAAATTCCATTAGCTTATACCCCCCAGAAAACATCTATGCCAAGTAATGCAACACACTGCAAGAACAGAGGGAGAATGAGAAAATTATATTGCATTGCTATCATTTCAACTTTTTGTCAGTTCTTTTCAACTGAAAGTCGTCCCCAAAGAGATGTGCTCTTTTTTTTTTCTTCTCAAGGCTTTAAGGAAGAAACAAATAAACTTTTAGCAGAAAGGAGGAGGGAGGCCCAGGATTGCAGCACAAATGATCAAAGTGAACAAACTATGCTTATATAGGGCAGTTTGGGTATGCACAAGAAACACTCCGGGAGCTTATTAGAAATGCAAATCCCTGCCCCTGCCACTGTTCTGACTCAATAGGTCCAGGAATGAGCCTAAGAACTGTAAGTATTTAATAAGCACCTTGAGTGATTCAGATGCAGGGTGTGTACAGACCTCATCAAGAAAGAAATGTTGTGATAGGAGGATCCGGCTACCCTAAAATTGATCTGAATTCTCCCAAACGCTGTTCTTGATCAAAGAAAGAATAGTTGTTGCTGCCTGCTTGGAGTTCTTCTGAACTGGAGATAACATTCTAAGCTAATTTATTGCATCTCTGAAGTGCCTACTGAATTGTTTCATTCACTTATTCATTCAACAAATATTTATTAAGCACCTACTATGTGCTAGGTGCTGTGTTACATAAGAGACTCATGTTCAAGATAAAAGGAAGGGAGAAAGGCAAAAAGAAAGGGTAATAAAAAATACACAGAAACGGAAAAGAAAGGGAAGGGAAAGATTTTTAAGTAATGTTTTTGAATCATCAGGCAGCCCACTGTGGAAACATAATATGTAATTTATAATGACTTCTTTACATATCTTCCTGCTGACTGTACCTGGATTCACTTTGTTTTCTCTTCTGTATGTTAAGCTCCAGGCAAAACTGCCTCATTTGTTATGTACAAGTGGAGTCTATGCACACTAGGGAAGCTCTTGCTTTTAGCCTCTGGGACCTTAAGGACGTGTCACAACACTACAAATATGATTGGGCCTGAAAGGGAACTGGCAGAGGCCAGAGTGCTGTGGCCTGGGATCATGGAATGGCCGCCTGGGGACTTTACAGGGTACAAGGAGCAGCCTCCTGACTTCTCTCCTCCTGAAAGCTTCAAACCGCCCCTCCTACCCTCCTTGGCTTGATCTCAGCCAAACATTCCAACCTAAGAAAATCAACAGTCCCAGTTTGCCCAGGAAGAACGGGGTTCTGGGATGTGGGACTTTCAGCGCTGAAACTACGGTCAAGAAAGGCAACCAGGCCGGGCGCGGTGGCTCAAGCCTGTAATCCCAGCACTTTGGGAGGCCGAGACAGGCGGATCACGAGGTCAGGAGATCGAGACCATCCTGGCTAACAGGGTGAAACCCCGTCTCTACTAAACATACAAATAAAATTAGCCGGGCGTAGTGGCGGGCGCCTGTAGTCCCAGCTACTCGGGAGGCTGAGGCAGGAGAATGGTGTGAACCCGGGCGGCGGAGCTTGCAGTGAGCCGAGATCATGCCACTGCACTCTAGCCTGGGCGACAGAGTAAGACTCCGTCTCAAAAAAAAAGAAAAAAGGCAACCAGCCATGAACACAGGGCCTGGGGAAGCTACAAAAGGAGGATGCTCCGGCTTTGGGCTGCTTTGTGGCCTTGGGCAAACAATTAAACATGTCTGAGCCTCACTTTCCTCCTCTGTAAAGTGGGGGGATAATCAGCGCCCCACTGTGTTATTGTGAGGATTAAATGAACCTTCATGCTTGCTGTGTTGTCCGCCGGGAAGATCCTCTACTACCCTGGTTTCTTGGTTGGAATGACCCACCTGCAACCTACAAGCTTGGTTTAAACAGCATTTTTTCAGATGTCCCAGACCCCACATTCAAATCACTGGTATATAGCACAGTGCCTGGCACATAGTAGGTGCTTAATAAACATTTGGGGAATAAATAAACAATGCATAGCATGCACAGCACCTGACACGAGAGTAATTTTTTTTTTTTTTTTTGAGACAGGGTTTCGCTCTGTCACCCAGGCTGGAGTGCAGTGGCGTGAGCATGGCTCACTTCAACCTTGAACTCCCAGGCTCAAGTGATCCTCCTGCCTCAGCCTCCTGAGTAGCTGGAACTACAGACACACATCACTAACCCTGGGTAATTTTTTATTTTTTTATAGAGACAGGGTCTCACTTTGTTACCCAGGCTGGTCTCAAACTCCTGGCCTCAAGCAATCCTCCCACCTTGGCCTCTCAAAGTGCTGGGATTACAGGCATGAGCCACTTCTCCCAGCCAAGAGTAAATATTTTTAAATAGCTACTTTTATTATTAAAAGTATTTACTGGAACTAAGAGTGGTCAGGTACCTAAACAGCTCACTTTTTCAACACCTAGTGTGGCAGATGTTCTAGCAGGTCTGTTTTTAAAAATCAAAATAAAATCACTTGTCACCTTTGCCATACACACCCATCAAAGGGAGCTGCATTTTAAGAGAGTAAGAGTTTTAGGGTTTTGGTGGTTGTATTGCCATAAAAATAGAGAAAATTTTTTGACAGAAACCTTATATAATTGCTGTTTATTTCCCTTCTCTGTGTCCTGTATGCCTGAACTCCAATAAATGAGAGTAAAAATCAAATCTGTGATAGAGTTTTTATTTATTTTCCTATCTATAGCATTCTTTATAGGATCCAGATCTGGGAGAGAAAGAAAACAAAGGACAAAGGAAAAGAAAACTTGCCCGTGGGACTTCCCAGCCATCCCTTTCACCTGGTACCTTTAGGTCCTTCTATTTTCGCAGGAGGCTCCGATCCCCTGGGCGCTTGATAATTCTCTGAGGTCATGGAGATCAGATACATGGACACTCATCCACCAACAAAGGCTTTCAGACACAAACCAAGCTGCCTCCCAGAGTACAGAGGTAGCAACTCTGCTCATCACTACAGAGGCACTGATGTCACTCGGTGTCCCTCTGGAGGAGCAAATGGACCCACAACCCCACTGCTTTGCTCCCCACCAGCTCCTCCCACACGCTGGTCCTAACGCTTTGCTGAGCACACAGTGGACTCTCCACGAACACTTGCTGCTTGATCCCTTGTACGCCCCCATTTTGGCATCTCATTAATGACCAGCCACTACCTCTGAAGCCAATTCCAGCGCTGGCCCCATCTCTCTTCCCAGCAGCCTTGCAAATGCCGCCATCCGCCTGGACAGCCCAAAGAGGTTATGTGCCCCTTTTCCCCTCCTGGTCCTGGAAGACTGCACTGTTAACACCATCTCCACAGGGTTAACGAGAATTACATGCCAGACTTTAGATAAAGGTACAGAGAGGGCATTGATCAGGTTGCCATTTGACCTACTTCCCTGTAGCTACTTATGGACCACATAGGCTGTGACATAAACCATGAACTTCCTCATTGTTCCTATAGATGTTAGGAGCCCAAGACTTTCTGTTTGAGATGTTTTCAGAACAGTTGAAGCCAACTAGTCTGAAGATTCCACCAAGGAGCTAAGTCAGCATGAGAATGCGGTTTCTTCAGCTTCCCGTCCCACGACTTCAGCCCGTACTCTTTGACCAATCAACACCTTGGCCCACTACCCATCCAAACTCCTTAAAATTCTAGATCCAAATTCTTCATGGAGGTGGATTGGAGCTTTCCTCCTATCTCCTCACTTGGCAGCCTTACAACTAAGACTTTCTCTGCTGCAACCCAGCATCTAGGCATGTTGCCTTGCTGCACATCAGGCAATGGGCCTGGCACCATTACACCTTGACTGTCCCTAAAGAGAAAAGTAAATGAAGTTAGGATTAGCTATACTTCTTGATAAATATAAAATCTCTCCCTGCTCTGCAAATGTCCCCAAAGGCCTAGTCACATTCTGGGATGGCAAATACCCAATGATGTAAACAAGGTGAATATCACAATTGCTATAACTTGTTAAAAGCCAATTACATGGCAGGCACAGAGATAGGCAATATGCTTGTATCTATATATTCTCATTTATCCTGACAATCACCCTATTTGTGGTTAGGACTACAGGCTTTGAAGTCAGACTGATCTGGGTTTAAATCCCAGCCCTGCCACCTATTGGGTGATCTTGGAGAAGTGAGGCAATCTTCCTAGGCCCCAGTTTCCTCACCTGTAAAGTTAGGGTAAAACTACCTAACTAAAGGGGTTGGTGTGAGAAGTCAATGGCAGAATGTATCTAAACCAATTATCATAGTCAATGTTTAGGTAATGATGTGGATGGTGATGGTCGAGGAGGAGAAGGGACAGGAGGAAGATAAAGCAGTTTGGAGAGGCTAATTAACTTACCTAGGGCCACACAGCTAATGAGTGACAAATATAGGATTCCAGCCAGGTAAGCTCATTTTCAAATGATTTTTTTAGCATCAAAAGACTCTCTTCAAGCATCTCACAATGAAACTCTGAGCATTTGCAGCTTACCTCTTACATGGCCCCATTCTGAGAAAGCTGAAAGAAACCCTCAGTGTGGCAAGAAGCACTGTTTAAAAACCCCTGCCCACTCCACTGCCTCTTGGGGTACAAAGCCCTTGCAGAGAATCAACAATGTAGGTCACGGCTTGTTGGGATCCTCTGGCTTCCCCGGAGAAACCAGGTGTTGCAGCTTCCCCAAATCAAGGGACTCGTCAGACTACAAGCTTGTCCTCTGTAAGTTGTGTGCTCACTAGAAGGCCTCTACACCTGTGCAGGAGTAAGCTTAAGTCTGTTTCTGCTCAAATGTCAGTATGAGAGGACATCTTCCAGACTCCAAACCCTATCTCTCTATATAAAATTGAGCATTTCAAAGTTATTATTTGGGGCCATTCAGTTCTCCCATCCCTGGCTTAAGAAAAACAGATTTCTTTTCTGTTACTTGCAAACAAGAATCTTGAGTGAGACACTCGGTCAGGACCACCCATCCACCATCTTCACCTAGCTAAACCTCTATGCGTTATTCAAGGCTCTGTGTAAAAACCACTTCCTAAAGCCATTCTCATTTGTTGAAGTGCCTGATTTGGGGCAGGGTTTCTCCAGAAGCAGGGCAGGAGAATGAAATGTAAGTTCAAGCAGTTTGTTTGGAAAGTGATCCCAGCAAGCATCAGTAGGGAGAGAAAAGGAGAAGAGAATAGAAGGAAGACATTGAAGAGTGCATCCTTGAACCTGTTCTGTGTGGGCGACTGGGGCTTCATTGCACTGAGGAGTTCTGGGGCAGGGAGAAAACATGTCTCAGAGTTATCCCACCTGAAGAGTTGAGAAGCTGGGGTATTTATACTCTAATTCTCATCTGTCATTGGTTGAGGGCCTTTCCTGGGGACATTGACTCCAAAGAACTTCTGCCTGAATCATATGTGACAATCAAGATAAAGTTCTTTACAATTAGTTGCATGCTGTCGGCACATAATAAAATGGTTAGTGCCAAGGGGATATGGGAGAGGCACCAAAAGTGTCTGCTCTAGTCTCCATGGTATCTTTTGTCATTTTATCCTATACTTGTCTTTCATAGCACTATGCAACTGTCAGGAAATGCATACATTTATTTGTTTGGGTCTGTTTCTCCCAACAAACTAGAAGCTCCATGAAATCAGGAACCACATCCATCATATTCCCAGCACCTAATAGAGTCTCAAGTCATAGCCATTGAATAATTGAACTAGAAAACAGATGGGTGGATGAATGGAGTGGTGGATGAATGGATGGACACAGTCACCTCTTTAAATTTTAACATGCTGTTGATACACTTAGATTTTAAAACAGCAGTTAAGGAAGAAATATTACCTCTCAAAATATAAGCCTGAGATGTAAGACCCAATCTCAATTTCAATTAAAAAAAGTTTAAATTTAAAACATTTAAAATTTAAACATTTAAACATATTAAACAAGTCAATATGCCAAAACATTTAAAATTTAAAAATTTCGATTAAAAAAATTAATTTTTAAAGGATCTTAATTTCCTTGTGCATGAAATTGTATTCTACTTTTTTCCACACAATTTTCCATGGGTCTAAATTACCTTCATAATTATCACTGCAGTGGACACAAACAAAACTTTATTAAGAATAGTGTTTATTGTACCATTGAACTATAAACCTCCTTGCACAAATTATTTTTCCTTCTTCTGAATTTCCTTAGAATACCTTTTAAGGAGTAGAGTTACTCTGAGTAGGTGGCAAGAATTTCTAGTTGTCTGTTTCCCAATATCTTCTCCTCTTTGTTCCATAAAAATAGAATTTATAGCTGGACACAAGGCAATCTGGGATAAAGACTACATTTCCCAGACTCCCTTGCAGCCAAGTATGACTAGGTGACTGATTCCAGTCAACAGGATGCTAGCACAAAGGACACATGCAATCTCTGAGCCATGCCCTTAAAGAGAAGGAGCAGATCCCTACCTTTTCCTTTTTCTCCCTTTTAACTGGCTGGCATATGGACATGGTGGTGAGCCATGTTGTACCCTGAGATCAAGAAGAACTCCCATGGTAAGATAACAGAAATGAAAAGATAGTTTCACCACATAGAGCCTCCATACCAGATTGAACTTTTATTTGAGACAGAAGCAAACTACCTAATTTAAAGCGCGATTACTTTGGGTCTCTACTGCATTCAATTCAGCCAGTCTCATTTTTATGGTTCTTAATCTCCAGATTGTTAGCACGACCCATTTAAAAGATATAATTATTGCAAAATTTGTGTAACAATCTACTGCATATAATGAGTAGGTTATTAAATCTCCACTATGCCCAAGCTCCCCAGGAATCCATTAGCAGTGTACTCTCCCAAAGTCAGAATATTAAAGAGATTCTTAGCCAAATAAATTTTTGAAATGTTGGTCAAAACAAAGCATAATAACAGGATGTGCACTGGGTCTCTTCCTGTTGGCCCAGGATCGCAGGAGGTGAGCATCCCCCATCAGCAGGACTGGAAGGCACCTTGGGGTAGGATCTCTGGGAAGAAAGAGATGATGGTAGCCGCATTGCTTTCCCAGTTTCTTAGATATATGGGTCCAGGGAGAAGTGGAACCCCACCCTCAAGGAAACCACTCACACCACCTACTCAGAGACCACACTACCAGCTGTGGCCATCAGCACACAACTGAACCTTTGAGCAAAGGGCCACCTTCCCTCTGTCTCTCCATCACCCAGCACCATAGATCTGCACCTTGAAAAGATGGAGGTGCTGAGCGCAGTGGCTGATGCCTGTAATCCCAGCATTTTGGGAGGCTGAGGTGGGCGGATCACCTGAGGTCAGGAGTTCGAGACCAGCCTGCCCAACATGGTGAAACCCCATCTCTACTAAAAAATACAAAAATTATCCAGGTGTGACGGCTTACGCCTGTAGTCCCAGGTACTCAGGAGGCTGAGGCATGAGAATTGCTTGAACCTGGGAGGTGGAGGTTGCAGTGAGTTGAGATCATGCCACTGCACTCCAGCCTGGGCAACAGAGTGAAACTCGGTCTCAAAAAAAAAAAAAAGAAGAAGAAGAAGAGAAAAGATAGGAGGAAATGGAGTGAAAAGAGGGGTGTCTCACTGCAAACTGTATGCCTTTCCCTTCAACTCCAAACAGTTGAAGCTGTAGCTCAAGTCTGATCTGGGAGGAGAAGAAGATGAGATTTAAATTCAATTTGAGGTTATAATTGTAATAGGTTCATTGCCCAAGGCACATGGCAAGTCAATATGCCAAGAAACCAGGTTGCAGCAGAGAATGAGGTTTAATAGTAGGGCGGCTGAATGAAGACACAGGAGGAAACCTCAAATCTGTCTCCCTAAGGAGTTTGGGGCTAGGGTTTTTAAAGGTTTTGGGGTGGGCAGATGTGGAGATCATGGATTGGTCAAAGAATGCAGGGTGAAGTCGTGAGACAGGGAGATAAAGAAACTGTATTCCCATTGCTGATTCAGCTCCTCTGTGGAGGTTTGTAAGCTGATTTGTGTCAGCATTTCCACTGGAATTCAGGATCTGCTTAAGCAATTCTTAAATAAAAGCCTTATCTAGTGCTATGTTACTTTCTGTTACAAGGAAGTGGGTCAAAGTGCAGCCTGATTAATGCTGAATTATGACTATATTTCTGTCCAAAATTTTTGTTAACTTCATGAGGATGGCTTCAGTACTGCAGTTCTATACTAGAATGGACTTTTAATGACTTAAATTAGCCTAAAAGTTGGGGAATCTGACTAAGGATGGGAAAGTCTATTTTACAATGCTCAGCTGGAAGAATGGTGGAGAATAAATAAAACCTTTTCATTATTTCATCCTCTGTATCATTTATAGCCACAATATGCTGTGTAACAAACCCACAAATAATAAAAGTTTATTATTCACACATCTGACTCCACTGGGAGTTGGTTGATCCAGGTTGGACTCAACTCCACCTGTCTCTCATCTTTCTTGGACCAACAACTACCCCAAGCATGTCCTCAAGGCAATGGCAAAGGTGCAAAAGAACATGTGGAAACACACAAGTCCTCTTGAAAAACAGTCTCAGAACTGGCACATCCCTGCTTCCTCATCCTCTTGAGATACAGGCTCAGAACTGGCACATCCTTGCTTCCTAGTCATTCTGTTGGCTAGAGCAAGTCATGTGGCCCAGCCTAGCATCAGAGTGGACAAGTCCCTCAAAACTAGATGGGAAAGGGAATGTTACAGGGAAGGGGGTAGAATTAAGGCAGTGATCTTCAATCCACCACACCGTGCTAAGCCATCACTGTTGAATTAACCTAATACAAAAATTTGACCAGTTTCTTTATCAGTTTGACGTGTCAGGTCCTTTAATATGCTAAGAAGAACTCCGAATCTCCACTAATGGCATGTGTCTCACTTGACCAGCAGAACATTTTTGGGGGGCTCCTTGCAGAGAGTTTAGCAAAGGCTCCTACAAGTGGGGCCCAGACCCTTGGTCCAGCTCTTCCCTCTTCTCTTCAGTCACTCTTCTTTACTCCTCAGTTACAGCCATTCCTTCACTCTAGTCTATGGCTGCACAGCACAGGGCAAAGAGCATGAAGGCTGGAGACCTGTTCCCTAGCACCCATGTGGGCTTGGGCAAGCCACTTAATCTCCCTGAGCATCAATGTCTTCATCTATGAGGCAGGCCATTGTACCTGCCTCAGTTTCCCTAGTGATAATCAAACCAGACCATCCAGGCAAAAGTGCTTTGTGAATAACTCCTGATCTCCTGGGCAAATCTCTCATCCCAGCTCCTAATACTGGGCTCTGACCATAATTAACTCAAAGAGAATTTGTTGCAAGTCTCAACATCTGGCTATTTTCTTCAGCCTTGACATAGGACCAGAAGGGGAAGTATGGGCAAAGAAGTGGGGAGTGGGAAGAGGCGATGATGTTAGTTTCCTGGAATATTTTAAAACCTAAGAGAGTCTTCATGTAGTTTATGTCTATAAAGTGGAAAGGGAAACAAATACAAAATAACACTGAAACTGAGCCAGCTTATCTGCATCTGATGGCAACTTTTGTCCTCCAAACTTTTCCAGACATACAGGCAGCTTAGTTGGTATTCAGGAGGTGGCTGTGCTTGCTAAAACCACCTAGTACTTATCCCAAGTGGAATCCCCTAACTCCTTCTGCTCTGCTCTTAATCGCAAAAATGGAGGTGATGGGGAAGGAAAGCTTACTTCTGATTAATAGCATACAGTACATTTTGCAGTTAAAGAACTCATAGCTCAAATTATTTCAAATCATAATTTCAGGAATGTGGGCCCTGCTGTAAGTTTCTGGTTGGACACTGTCAACATAGAAAATGTGAAGATTGGTGCCTGCATCTTGGTTTTCCTTGCTTCTGACGAACCACATCTCTTCTTTGTTATGTTTCATTACTGTCTCTTTGTCTCAAGGCCTTGAACCACAGACCAGTCAGTGCTTGGAATTGGAATAGACATTAGAACTCATTGAGCTAAACCATAACATCTTACCATCTCTATCACTCCCCAATATAAGATTGAAATAACCCACTCCATTTTTGGCAAACATCCTCCCACACTCAGCTGAAATACCTCCAGGGACACAGAACTCACTAAATCTCAAGGCAGTGCCTTCTGTCATAGGATAGCTTCAGACCTGACCTTAGGTGAAACTACCACCCACCTTCTCATAGCTACCTTAGCCCTGATTCTGCTCACTGAGGCCCCAGAAACCTTATTCCCTCTCTCCTATGGTTGTCCTGTGGATAAAAGATAATAAGCATTACATCTTCTCTCTGAGAAATTTTAGCCACCAGGCTTGAACTTTTTCAACTTCCCGCATTGTACCAGATTCACACCCCCATCTATCATTACACCTTTTCCTTACATCTAAAGAGTAAGGTGACCTCTTTTTCTGTTCAAAACTCACCTTTCTACCTATACTCTCGACTCCATCTCCTCCTGCCCTCTCTGTGGCTTTGATGGTTGAAATAAACTTGGGAATCAATTTTTAAAAGAGATAAAGAAAAGTTTGTATCCCAGTGCATAGCTTGAGAGACTGAATGAATGATGAAGTCATCGACTACAAGATGGAGGGAGAAGGAGGAGTAGGTCTGGGAGGAAGGTCATGAGTTCAGAGTGGGGCCATGCTGAGTTTGAGGTGTCTGGGGACACCGAAGGGAAGAAGTCTAGCAGGCAGATAGACATAAAATCCTGAGGTATGGGAGAGAGGGCTGTGCTGGGGATGGAGATGAAGGGATCATCAGCCCAGAGAAGGTGGTTGGGACATGAGAATGGATAAGATTGCCTAAAGAGGTATAAAGAGTGACAATGTCAGAGATATCTTTGGAATGGTATTTTGGAGAACCTCAACTTTTAAGAGGTAGGCGAAGGATGAGACAGAGGTTTGAAATGCCAAGGAAAGCCAAGAGAATCTGCTGAAATGAAATCCAAAGGTGTAAGTGTAGAGAAAAGGGGTGATCAATCATGTCAAATGCAAAAGTAAAGTCTGGCAAAAGAGCATGTGGAAAATGTCCAACAAACTTGGCAATTAGCAGACCAGGTGCAGACTCGGAGAGTGTAATTCCCATAGAGGGATAGGGGCAGAAACCAACAGGTGGATGAGAGAAGGCTGAAGGAAGTGGAAGTGAAGGTTGCAAAAATAGATTTCCCCATTTCTGAGAAGCTTACATGAGAATAGGAGGAGTTTCCGACTTAGGAGTGAAGATATAGTGGGTGGCTGTATGGCTAGTAAAGATGGTCTGACAAAAATTCTTCTCTCTCACCAATCTATAATATCTTAAAAATCATTATATTAAGAATTCACTTGGGGAAGCAGAGGTGGGTGGATCACTTGAGGTCAGGAGTTCGAGAACAGACTGACCAACATGATGAAACCCTGTCTCTCCTAAAAATACAAAATTAGCTGGGAGTGGTTGTGCATGCCTGTAATCCCAGCTACTTGGGAGGCTGAGGCAGGAGAATCGCTTGAACCCGAGAGGCGGAGGTTGCAGAGAGCCAAGATCGCGCCATTGCACTCCAGCCTAGGCAACAAGAGTGAAAGTCTGTCTCAAAAGAAAAAAAAAAAAAGAATTCATTAAGGATTTATTCCTTTAAGTCAGTGGCTTGTTCTCCTTGGAAATGTAAAAAAAACTCAGCATGGCTAACAGTTATTTAACAAACATTTATTGAACTCTTCTTCTGTGCCAGGCATATTGCTAGGCATTAGAGATCATGAAATGGATAAGATATGAAAGTAAAAATAATTGTTAAATTAATTTCTGGCATTCTTAAGAAAAAAGCCAGAAAACCCACCAGCTCCTAGAAGTGTATGTAGACTTTCTTTCATGCATGTTTGACTTTTTATTTTTCACTTTTATATCAACCTTATTGAGGTATAATTTGCATACAATAAAACGAACAGATTTTAAGCGTGCAGTTTGATGAGTTTTGACAAGTGAAACCACCACCCAAATCAAGAAAGAGAACGTGTTTCTATCATCCCCACAAGTTCTTTACTGTTTCTTTCTCATCAAACCCACCCCCAGGCAACCACTTGTCTGCTTTCTGTCACTATAGGTTGGTTTTGCTTTTTCTACAGTTTCATATAAATGGAATTGTACCCTTTTCTGTCTGGCTGCTTTTGCTCAACATAATGTTTTTGAGATTTGCCCATGTGGTCACGTGCATCAGTGGTTTATTTCTTTTTATTACTCAGTAGCATTCCCATGGATGAATATATCCGAATTTATGTATCCATTCACCTGTTGACAGACATCTGTGTTGTCTCCAGATTTAAGGAATTATGAATAAAGCTTCTCTAGACATTCCCAAACAGATCTGGTCATATGTTTTCATTTGTCTTAGATAAATAATTTAATTGTGTGACTGCTGGGTCATATAGTAACTATACTTTTTACCTTAAAAGAAACTATTCAGGCTGGGCACAGTGGCTCTTGCCTGTAAGCCCAGCACTTTGGGAGGCCAAGGCAGGAGGATTGCTGGAGCCTAGGAGTTTGACACAAGCCTGGGCAACATGGTGAAACCCCATCTCTAGAAAAAATACAAAAATTAGCCAGGTGTGGTGACACATGCCTGTCGTCCCAGCTACCTGGTAGGCTGAGGTAGGAGGATCACTTGAGTCCAGGAGGTCAAGGCTGAAGTGAGCCATAATCACAGCACTGCATCCTGGGCAACAGAGCAAGACCCTGGAAGAAGGAGGAGGAGGAGAAGGGCGGGGGGAGGAGGGGGAGGAGGAAGGGGAAAGGGAAGCGGAAGGGGAAGGGGAAGGGGAAGGGGAAGGAGAAGGAGAAGGAAAAGGGGAAGGAGAAGTAGGAGAAGGAGAAGGAGGGGAAAACTATCCTACCGTTTTCTGCAGTGGCTACACCATTCCCAACAGTAACGTATGAGAGTTCCAGTGGCTTCATATCCTCACCAGCATTGGATATTAATTATCTGTTTTCAAAAGCCATCTCAGTGGGAATATATGTCACTTATCAGCTATGTGTTTTACAAATATAGTCTTTAAGTCTGTGGCTTGTCATCATTTTCTTAACAGTGTCTTTCAAAGTATAGAAGTTCTACATTTTTATAAAGTCAAATTTATCATTATTTTATGGTTTAAAAAGCCATCTCAGTGGGAATATATGTCACTTATCAGCTATGTGTTTTACAAATATAGTCTTTAAGTCTGTGGCTTGTCATCATTTTCTTAACAGTGTCTTTCAAAGTATAGAAGTTCTACATTTTTATGAGGTCAAATTTATCATTATTTTATGGTTTATGCTTTTTTGTCTTAGCTAAGAAATCTTTGTCTAACTCAAGGTCACAAAGATTTTTCTCCTTTTTTTATTAGTAGTTGTAGAGCTTTAGGTTTTACATTTAGGTTTCTGATCCATTTTGAGCTAATGTTTGTATATGATGTAATATATGGGTTGAAGTTCATTTATTTCCACGTGGATATCCAATTGTCCTAGCACAATTTGTTGAAAAGACTATTATTTCTTCATTGGACTGTCTTGGCACCTTTGTTAAAAATTGACTAAATATGTGCGGGTCTATTTCTCAATTATCTTATTTCATTTAACTACTTTTCTCTCCTTTTGCCAATGACATTTTATATTGACTACTGTAGCTCTTTAATAAGTCTTGAAATCAAGTGGTATGAATCCTCCAACTTATTTTTTCAAAACTATTTTGGCTATTCTGGGTCCTTCTCACTTCCATATAACTTTTAGAATTCATTTGTCAATTTCTTTAAAGAAAAAAAAAGTCTGTTTGGATTTTTTTTTTTGAGATGGAGTTTCACTCTTCTCACCCAGGCTGCAGTGCAGTGCCATGATCTCAGCTCACTGCAACCTCCGCCTCCTGGATTCAAGCGATTCTTATGCCTCAGCCTCCCGAGTAGCCAGGACTACAGGCATATGCCACCATGCCTGGCTAATTTTTGTATTTTTAGTAGAGACAGCATTTCACCATGTTGGCCAGGCTGGTTGCCAACCCCTGACCTCGAGTGATCCACCCGCCTCAGCCTCCCAAAGTGATGGGATTCAGGCGTGAGTCACCATGCCTGGCCCTGTTTGGATTTTGAGTGAAGATTAAGCCTGTAAATCAATTTGGGAAGACTAGACATCTTAACAATATTGAGTCTTCCGACCCATAGTATGGAATATCTCTGCATTTATTTAGATTTTCCTTCATTTCTCTCAGCAATGGTTTATAGTTTTCAGTGTAAAGATCTTTACAGCATTTTATGTCTGTTTCTAAGCTTTTCATGTTCTTGGTACTATCATAAATAGTGTTGTTTTAAAATCTCATTTTGCAATACTTATTCCTAGTATATAGTAGTAAAATTAAATTTTTTATATTGCCATTGTATCCTGCAACCTTGCTAAATTCTCTTATGAGTTCTAGTCATTTTTCTAATAGATTCCTTAGGAATTTCTACATACATGATCATGTTGCCTGAAAATACAGTTTTATTTCTTCCTTTCTGAACTGTATGCCTTTTTCTTTGCCTTATTGCCATGGGTAGGACCTCAAATCCTGACCAGAAGTGGCAAAGGGGAATAATCTTGCTTGCTCCCATATTAGAGGAAAAGCTTTCAGTAGTCAGTTATTAAGTATGATATTACTTGTAGATTTTTCTTAGGTGCCCTCATGTATGCTTTTTAAAAATCTTAAATAGTATCATTGTTACTATTAATATTATAAAGAATAAGCATGTTTACTGTAAAAAAAAAAGAAAGAAAAAAGAAAACAAGACCAAAGCATATGACATAAAATGCTGAAGCCTTCTGATCCAGTCCTACCAATCTCCTAGGCAAATTATTTGGATACTGAAAGAGGTAGAGTAGGAGAGAGATATGATGGAGACCAAAAAGAGAACAGATTTTGTTTTGAAGGAAAGAATTACCTCACCATTTAAAATGAAAAATAACCTGAGTTATCTAGAGCTGCACATCTTTTTGATGGGGGAATTCTCCTCTTCTCCTGGAGTCCTATCTGAGCCCTTCATTCTGAGTTGGCTCTCTTCTCTGTATTCACATCAAAAGGAAAACTGTTCTTGGAGTCAGAAGAGTTGGGATGAGAAGGCACACAACCTAGCAATGAAGAGTCTGAGCTTCAGAGTCAGGCCCACCAGAGGTCCCACCTTCACCATAATTCTTACTTATGTATGGCCTCCCTGAGCCTCCACTTGTACATCTGTTAAAAGGAATGATAATAGTTCAGGTCTCCTGGGAAACAGTATAGAGATTTCTTAAAGAACTAAAAGCAGATCTATCATTCTATCCAGCAATCTCACTACTGAGTATCTACCCAAAGGAAAAGAAGTCATTATGTGGAAAACACACATACACACACATTTACAGCAGCACAATTTGCAATTGCAAAGATATGGAACCAATCTAAGTGTCCATCAACCAACGAGTGGATAAAGAAAATGTGGTCTATATACACCATGGAATATTACTCAGCCATAAAAAGGAACAAAACAATGTCTTGTGCTGCAACTTGGATGGAGCTGGAGGCCACTATTCTAAGTGAAATAACTCAGGAATGGAAAACCAAATATAGTATGCTCTTGCTTATAAGTGGGAGCTAAGCTATGAGGATGCAAAGTCATAAGAATATCATGAATTTTGGGGACTCAGGGGAAAAGTTTGGGAGGGGGTGAGGGATAAAAGACTACATATTGGGTACAGTGTACACTGCTCAGATGATAGGTGTGCCAAAATCTTAGAAATCACCACTAAAGAACTTATCCATGTAACCAAAAACCACCTGTACCCTCAAAACTACTGAAATAAAAATAATAATAAATGATAACTAGTAGCAAAAAAAACTACTCCAGGTCTCCTGGGATAGAGATGTAACACGTGAGAAGTACTACCTGGATGCAATATGTTAGCACTTTCCCTGTGCATAGCAAATCTTCCATGAATGTGGGCAACCACTGGCCATCTTTGGGCCAATCTCTTAACCTCTAGGACTCCATATAATGGGGATACCCCTACCTGCCTCCCAAGATTATGTGGAAATAAAATGATAGCATAAATATCAAAGACACAGCCAAGCAACAAAGTCAGGCTGGTACCCAGAGGTAGGAATCAGACTTGGCTTAAGATCCATTTGTTCCTTTCACTCAAAATCGATTTCCCAGTGAGCTATAGCACTTCCTCCTTTATTGATCAACCTCTGAAACTGGCCTATATTATTTTAGATAGGCAATACCCTCAATCTTTTAAAAAAGATTTTTTTAAATGTGCTTACTCTGGAATAAACAAATTTCTTTTTTTCCTCCTTCAAAACTGTTAACCTTTCCAAATGAAGTTCCAAAATGAAAGCGTGTTTGGTGAGCCATCCCATCCTGTGAATTTTGGTTAGGATATACACCAGAAGCAATACCAGTTATCTTAAGTCTATACATCTCTGATCCTTGTCTATGGATTAGGGTTGCCAAAATTTAGCAAACAAAAACACAGAAAGCCCAGTTAAATTTGAATTTCAAGTAAACAATGAATAATTGTGTATGTAAGAATATCCCATACAATATTTGGGACATACTTATGCTAAAAATTATTCCTTGCTTATCTGAAATTCAAATGTAACTAGGATTCCTGTATTTTATCTGAAAACTCTGTATAGATTTCCTTCCCTAAATGTTGTATATAAAACTTACAGCAAACTGCTAGAAGGGATGAGAACTCAGACAGCAGAAGGGAACAGCATAGATGAAGTGACTTCAGATTTTCACAATGGTGCCAGGTATTTTAGAGACTTTTCCTCACTTAATCGTCACTCACACATTTAACTAGAGCCCTATGGGTTGGCATTATCTCCTGTTTTACCAATGAGGCAATTGATGATGAGAAAGATCAAGTAGCTTGTCTTAAATCTAAAGTAATTATCTAAGAGAGCTTCATGGAAGAAGAGGCCATTTCAAGTAAACAGAATCTCTCTCTCTCTCTCTCTGTGTGTGTGTGTGTGTGTGTGTGTGTGTGTGTGCGTGTGCGCGCGCGCGCGTGCGTGTGTCTTTGTCTCTCTCTGTCTGTCTCTCTCTCTCTCTCTGCCTTTCTCTCTCTCTCTGTCTCTCTCTCTCTCTCTTTTTCCCCGCCCTCATCTGGTCCTTTCTTATGCTGCTGCTGCTGCATGACAATCTCAGCTTGGTGGCCAGCCAGTGGTAAGAGTGTCACTTGGAAGAAATAAGAGGTCCCACTTGGGCCTTGAGACTAAGTCACTTGCCCCAGAGACCTGTACAGGTGTGGGGCACTTGCCGGATAATCACTAAGAAGACCTCTGCTTTCCCATTTGTCACTGCCCCTCGTGTGCATAAAACCTCAGCTAAGAGGTGGAGCAGCTGGGCCACGTGAGACTCAGACACTCCCTGCATCCTCCCACCAAATTCCACCAAATTCTCAAAACAATGTCCAGCAATAACGGGTCAGGTTGGAGATAAGAGTTGGGGCGGTGTTGCGAAGGAAGATGACAGAGAGCCATGGAAGAGCACCGCAGGCAAAGGAGGGCCACTCAGGGAGTATGAACCAGGCAGCGGCAGCGCTGAGAGGGCTGAGCTTCTGACAAAATCTTATTGACAGGCTGATGAAACACTTTCAGCTTCAAGAGGAGTTTTCCTGTAAGAGTGTGCAGAGCGAATTAGATACCAGTTAGAAAGCCATTGCAAGGCTCCTGGCCTTCAATCAGCAAATATTTATTGGGCAAATCCTAACTGCTGAACATCAGTGCAAGGCACAATGGAGAACAAGAAGGGAATAGGCTTTGCTCTCCTGAAGCTTATGTTCCAACAAGAGACAGATAAATGGCAAATAAACAAGTCAATAAATAGGCACAATGATTTTAGGTGGCAGTAAGCATTTTGAAAAATATAAACCTAGATAATGGGATGGTGAGGAGCAGGGGGCATCACTAGAAAAAGTGATCAGGGAAGGAAAGTTTGGCTTGGGTCAAGATCCAGAAGCTCAGAAGGAGCCAGCCATACAAAGATCCAGAGGGAGAGCATTCAAAGCAGAAGACGCAATAAACAAAAGGACCTTGAAGAGGGAACAGATGGGCCACGTGGCAGGAGCAAAGGCAGTGAAGAGGAGAAGGCAAGCAGTTGAAATCAGAGAGGTGGGAAAAAACAAATCATGTAGGCCTTGTAGACCAAGGTAAGAAAGGCAGACTTATCCCAAGTGCAAGGATGAGATGTTGGATGAAAATGTAAGTAATGGCATCAGAAAGGTTCCAAAGATCACTCCAAAAATGGAGAAGATGAGCTTTATGACAGGTGGGATGAGCAGGATCCAAGAGAAGTCTGAGTCAAAGGTGACCCCATGTCACCAGCCAGAGTGACAGCTGTGTCATGCACAAACTCTCTGCTTCTGATGTCAAAACCAATATAAGCCAAAGTAAATACCATCCAATGGGTCACAATACATCTGTAGACAGTACAAACCAAGAAATTGCTGAAGGAAATGTCAATGCCAGATTCAAATGCTGATCCCTGGACAGTATGGTGTCAACATTTATTTTAAAACTCTGAGCAAGAGTCAAAAACCAAGCTGCTCTATTTTTTCTGAATGAGCCAAGGGAAGTCTTGCATTAGACTCATGAATAGAAACCTAGCTGAATGGCACCCAGTCCTTCCCGGGTCTTGTCATTTCCAAACTCTTTGTATTCATTTGTGTTTTCCTATGTGCTCTCTGCTAGTCAACCCAAATGATTCCCATCAGCATCGGGGGCAGGAGCAGGCATGACAAGACCTGCATGGTGTTCATGCTCAGGATATCAACTTGTCTTCATGCTCCACAAGAGGCACTCAATCACTAAAGGCTATGACTAATGATAGCACAGTGGCCCAGACTGAAGAAATGGGGCAAAAGAAAAACTGTGGCAAAGAGGATGTAGCTAAAAGGACAAATTCAAGGGTAACCTGGGAACATCACTGACCTTCCCATTCCCTCCCAATGCAGATTCATCCAGCATTTTCTCTACCCATTCAGTGGACATTAGTGTGGTATAGAAAGTGGCTTTGAAATCAGACAAATTGGTGTTCACCCCCAGGCTCTGTCACTTTCTCGGTGCATGATCTTAAGCAAGTCTCTTAATCTTGAACTGTCCAATATGGTAGCCACTGGCCACAAGTGGCTGTTGAGCACTTGAAATTTGGCTGGTCAGAATTGACTCACATTCAATTTCTTTTATTTTAATTGACACAGAATAACTGTACATATTTACGGGATATATAATGCTGATTTGATACATATATAGTGATCAGCTCAAAGTCATTAGCATATTCATTATTTCAAAGATTTATCATTTATGTTGGGAACATTCAATATCCTCCTTTTAGCTATTTGAAACTATGTATCATTATTAACTATAGTCATCCTTGTAGTGTTATAGAACACTAAAAATTATTCCTCCTATCTGGCTGTAATTTTGTATTCTTTAACAAATCTCTCCCCATCTCCATCTTTCCCCTACGCTTCCCAGCCTCTAATATCCACTGTTGTACTTTTACTTCTTTGAGGCCAACTTTAAGCTTCCACATATGAGTGAGAATGTGTGATGTTTAACTTTCTGTTCCTGGCTTATTTCACTTAACATAGTACCCTCCGGTTCCATCCATTTCACTTCAAATGACAGAATTTCATTCCTTTTTATGGCTGAGTAGTATTCCACGGTGTATATATAACACATTTTTTAAAAATCCAATCATCTGTCACATTCTATTTCTATTGGACAGTGTACCTTGCCCCCACTGAACCTCAATTTCTCATCTGTAAAATGGAATGATGGTGTCCAGCAATTAAAATCATTTTGAGAACTCAATGACATATTGCACTTAAAGTGGGATGTCTGGAACTCAGGAGGCAGACAAAAATGAAATCTATCCTATCACTACTTTTAGCTCCCAGGCCTTATCTCATTTAATGAGATATTCTCAAAATAGCTGTTTAAGGCAAGTAGAGTTATTCTCATTTTGCAGGTGAAGACGCTAAGGCTAAGGGAAGGTAAATAATTTGGCCAAAGGTACATAGTGTCCAGTTGAGCTAGGATTCATAGGAAATTACAGATGTTAAAAAATAACAGAGCTGTAAAAATTAATGGCACTAAGGGATGCAGTGTTCACCAAAAGGGTACTGTACTTCTGGACACAGAAAGATGTTCATAATGTTTTTAAGTAAAAATAAAAGCAAGTTATTGCACCATATGCTCAGCAGGATCTCATTTTATAGGTGTGCACATGTAAATGTGGTAAATGGCCTTATTCCTCCCCCACTTCTCCTTTCAGTCCTCCCCCTAGAGATTTCTGGGCTTTTTTTTACACTGAAAGATGGTCAAGGCTGGGCGCGGTGGCTCACGCCTGTAATCCCAGCACTTTGGGAGGCCGAGGCGGGCGGATCACGAGGTCAGGAGATCGAGACCACGGTGAAACCCCGTCTCTACTAAAAATATAAAAAATTAGCCGGGCGTGGTGGCGGGCGCCTGTAGTCCCAGCTACTTGGAGAGGCTGACGCAGGAAAGTGGCTGAACCCGGGAGGCGGAGCTTGCTGTGAGCTGAGATCACGCCACTGCACTCCAGCCTGGGCGACAGAGCGAGACTCCGTCTCAAAAAAAAAAAGATGGTCATGATATTTCAGTGCGGGGGCGGGGGGGATCAAAGGATACAATGTGAACTACATGAGCCCATTTTGTCAGAATGTGTAGATTTATATAGGATAAGTACAATTACCCTCTCCTTTCCTGCCCCTTCAAGTATCCCCCCCATGCTTTTGGAATGAAGAGAGTCATGAGGCATTGTTGAGTGAAAAAGACAAATGATTGTGCATGCAATAAACATAATGTGATCCCATCTTGTAAAAAGAAATATTTGTATACATACGGCAAGTGGAAATCCATTTGCTCTTCCCTCTTCCCTTCCTTAACCCCACTCCTCCCCAAGAGGCAGGAACCCTGATCTCGTTGGGTCCAATTCCAACGGACATTGATTGGTCCATATTTACCAGTGGGTGGGGAAGCTATGTTCTAATAGGTGTGTTCTTCTTACATCATACTCTTTCATCGATGGATTCTCATCTCTTCAGTCACCTGTCCCATGTGGTCAGAGGGATATAAGACTCCAAGATTCAGACTGGACTTGGGGAAGGACAAAGATCCCTTAATACATCTTGGTAATAAGCCATGTGCCCCAGCTTACCAAAAAGAGCCTCACTGGGGTTTCAGCACAAGCCCAGCTAACTGTAGCATGGCACTTTCTTCCCCATTGTTTCGTGTGCACTCCTTTGCATGGAAAACCTTGGGACAAAAGGGGTGGCTGAGCCCCTTGGCTTACCAACTTAACCAGATACCACCTAAAGCTTCCCAAAGCTCACAATGGCCACTAACATGCACAAAGAAAATTGGAAGGATATATTTCAAACCAATTTTTTAAATGATTTCTTCTTGGAAGTAAGATTATGATGTTTTATGTTTTATTTTTATGCTTAACCAATTTTCCAACTTTTCTACAAATGGTATTTGTTACTTAAATGGAAGGAAAAACAGTAAGAAGGATGATCGTTTATAACATTAAATGGGACAATCCCTGTGTTGTTAGTACTTCTTACATTTTTGGAAGAAAACTAAAATATTCTAAAGGAAAATATCCCCTCCTCACTTTTCAGAAAAGCATCAGTCTCCTCTTTTAAAAAGTGTATGGAACCCACGATTTAAGATCTGGGCTTCTCCATAGTGTAATATTCACAGAACATAACCTTGTCACCCAAAAAACAGATTTTTGAGCTTAAGGTTTCATTACCTTATTTGCTTTTACAGATCTGTTGTAGAGATATTTTCAGCAATGCAAGTGATCCATTCTCTCCATCTTCTCCCTACTCCTGTCCTCTCCCTGTCCTGCAGTGCCTTTGAATGGCCCAGGGGAAAAATCAGCCTTCAGCAGAGGTAGACAGGCTTCCCTGTTGTATTGTCTGCACCTGTGTTCAAGCGTCATTTGTTTTCTTATCTGTGTCCTGACTTATTTCAAATTGCAGAAAATTGTTGAAGAATTGTCTGACCCAAATTAACACAAGTTTCCAGCTTACAATTAGAAATTATCCAATATCAAATGTCCCTATGAAAAGCCCAAACTCCAAATCAGAGGTTACAAATCAGCAGCCTGGGTTGGGGAATTTGGCCCACAAATGTTTTATTTAGCTTTGAATATATACGGTCTTCATAGTGCTTTAAATTGGAATTTGTTACCCATACAGTACTTATAAATAGGGAGATTTTACTCCACAATTTGGATTCTCAGTTTCTCTTGAAAAATCTGAAGATATGGCAGTTCTCTGGGCACATGGAGCCACTTGGCAACCTCAACTTGTGGCTAAGTAATAGGGCATGGGCTCTCCTGTTCACCACAGTCCCCACCACTCCCTATTGTCTCCCAATTCCATGGTCAAGTTTTGATGGCCATTTACCTTCTTACACATGGATCACTTTAGTCATTCAGGTTACCTGTCAGGCCACTATAGACATCTGAGTTTGCAACTTCTCATCTGAGTCAAATAAAGCAAATTCAGACACATTGTTTATTTGCTCTTACAAAATTATTTCTATTATTAAAATTGCATGAGAAAAAGAAAAGTATATGGAGTTGATGATAGCAAGTCAGTCACAGTGTTAAAAGATCTAAATTTTAGTCTTTCTTAGTAAGTGTGCAACCACTTACTAGCAGGGAGGACTTGAATAAGATACATCCCCTCTCTGGGACTCAGCTCCTCCACTTATAAATTTTTATTTAACAAACATGTATTGAGCAGTTCTTGTATTCAAGGCATTCCACTAAGAAAAGATGGAGAGATAAGAGTTGTGCTGATTTTAAAGAATGGCTGGAAATTCTTTGACATACCTCCTAATGAAAGGTAGAGTTTCTTCATTAATCAAATGGGAATTATAAAACCTAACTCAATGAAGGACTGATCAAATAAGTCCATACAGATAAAACCCTGTACACAGCACCAAGCACTTAGTAGGTACTAAGTAAAAGCTTGTTCCCATTGGTTTTTTTCAGGATTCATATTTTTAAGCAGGGAATATCCTTATAGACCTATGGGCTTTAACAGGTATGTGTGTTCACCAGACTTACTATACAGATATGGACACTAAAGAACAAGAACATGATGGAATATTCTTTGAAAAATGGATGATCATTAAAAGTCACAATCCTTGAGGTTCACGGCTATGATTTTGATTCCAAACCACTTCTGATCCTCCCAGCCTCTGGGAGTTCCTCTAAATCAGTGATTGCTAGGTCTCTCTCCTAGAATACAGCATCTCTAATGAAAACCTTCTCCCCAAAAGAATGCATACCTGCCTTTATACACAACATTTTGACATAATCCTGGGGTATACAATATTTGGAAATAATATTCCTCTAAAATCCCATGGACTAATGGTGCATAGACCTCAATTCAAAAATTTCCTATCTGTAAGTGGAAGTGTCTGTCCTTCAGTTCTAGAAAGGATTTTGTGTTCTTTCAACAACACGTTAAGGTCACAATATTTTCAATGTAAATGATTTCAGGGTATAACTATACATTTACATCCTGCTAAATATTTTATATCAAGGTGATCAGAAATGACACTGAATAAGACTTTAGGGAATGTTAAACTATTTTGTGAGCTGTCCTTTTGGGCCTTGGGGGTAGACCACAGCATGATTGTTGAAGCTGGAATGTTTATATAAAGGGAGTAGATATTCCTACTCTGAATTATCCTAAAAAAGTTTTGGATGAGCAAAGAAATGGGGTGGGCCTTTGGACCAGGGAAGGGAGGAACTTCTTGCTAACTCTGGTCTAAGGGACATTGGCCCATATACCAATGGATGAAAGAGTCTGAGGTCACCTAGTGTCACTCAGAGGTGAAGAGGTTGGCTTCAAGCAAAGAACACCCCCACATGTTTGTTTCAGAAGCAATGGCATCCACAATCTGGCAGCAGGAGCAGGGAATGGACATGGGTCATCAGGTTTGGGTGGAGGATGGAAAATTAATTACACATGCTTATTCCTTTCCCCCCTTCAATGATAGCACACGTGGTAGACAGTACTCACTGGCTGGTCTGATAGTCATTCCAAATCTCCTTCTCCCTGACCAACTAAATCAGAGTCTCATGTCCCCAGCCTCCTTTGCAGCAGGGATAACCATGTGATTCAGATCTGGCCAATAGGGCCTTTGGGAAAATCTTTGACTTCCAGACTGGCCACTACAGCCCCTTTCCTCCTTCCTCCTTTGAAGTGGACATGCATCCCAGAGTGTGGAGATCATCTTGGCAACACTAAGGGACAAGCACGAAGGTAAATATAGGCATGCTGAAGAGGCTAGAGAAGAGATAAAAAGAGCCTGGGTCCTTGATATCCCCCATTGAAAAGCTGAACCAATACCAGCAACTGCCTGTCTAGACTTCTTAAAAAGCAACTGCAGATTTCTTAAATAGTAAACCCTATTTGTTTCAACCACTGTTAGGTTTTTCTCTTACTTGCAGCCAAATGCTTAAAAAAAATGGGGTCTCACTCTGTCACTCAGGCTGGAGTGGTGCAGTGGTGCAATCGTAGTTCACTGCACCCCCGAACTCCTGGGCTCAAGCCATCCTCCCACTTCAGCCTCCCTAGTAGCTGGGACTACATGTGTGTGCCACCATGCCTAGTTAAATTTTATACTTTTTATTTTGGCAGAGACGGTGTCGCAAACTTCTGGGCTCAAGCAATCCTCCCACGTCAGCCTCCCAAAGCACTAGGATTACAGGCGTGAGCCACTGCACCCAGCCATCCCTTTATAATTCAGTTAAAAAACTGAAAATGTATAGAGCCATGGCATACCAGTGATCTATTGCTGCATAGTACATCCCCAAAACTCAGTGACTTAAAACAACCACCATTAATTTAGCCCTTGATTCTGTAGAAGCTACTGAATGATCTCAGCTGGGCTCTCTCATACATCTGCAGTAGGCTGGGGAATTGGCTGGTGGCTGGCTGGTCCTGGATGGCCTCACTTGCATATCTGGAAGTTGACTGAATGTCAGCTGGCAGGGAAGACTGTGCCATGTGCCTCTCATCCTCCAGCAGGCTAGCCCAGGCTGATTCATATGGTGGCACCTTTCCAAGAGCAACAAGAGAGGTAAAGCCCTGATGCACGAGCACTTTTCAAGCCCCCGCATGCATCTTATTTGGTAATGTCTCATTGGCCAAAGCAAGCCACATGGATGACCCTGACTGAATAAATAAATGAATAAATAGACTTCAGTCTACTGGTTGGGGTATAAGGCATTGCAAGGGCATGGGTTCAGGGGCAGGGGATCATTTGGATCATTTTTTACAATCTACCACACATGTGATAGAGAAGGGGGAAAACTCCATTATCTGAGCAGATTTCAACCAAGTTCTGGAAGATGAAAGTACAAGGAAGAAATTGATACAGCAATCAGGAGAAGGCAGTTTACAGTCATCACAGAGGGAATGAATTAGGAAATATAAGAGCTAGGTGTTCCCATAAAACCCCAGAAAGACTCAGATCCATGACAGCAGAGATATTAAGGAATAAGACATAGTCCTGGAGAACGAGGGAGTCATTGGAAGTCTGATTTCCCTACCCACACACTCTTCCACCTCGGCTCTCAGAACATGAACAGGAGATTGGTGGTTTCTTCCCTGGAGAAAATAACGGCCTTTGAGACACTCCTCCATGCTCTGCATTTGGAGGCAGCTGTCTCCCCATTCAAATACCCAACACAAAATCTGCCAGTTGATCACAGCTCAGATTCCAAACTCTTATTCTAAGTATGGAGAGGTAACCAGAAATCATCAGACATTTGAAGAAATCCTCCAGCATGAAAGAAAGAGAGGTGCAAGATAAGTCACTGTGGCTGCTGGCAAGTGATAAGCCACTGTGGCTGCTGGCATAGACAACTGTGTCCCAGAGAACAACCATGCCTTGAGGGTCTCCAGCTGGCCCAAAGGCTGGGAAAAACTGATGGACATGTCCTAGATGTGTCCTGGGAAACACCCAGGACTAGACGACCCTTAAAAGGTCACTGATTTCTGGCAGCGAACCAGGTAGTGACTCCTTGAATAATAACATGTGCAGAAAAAGTATGATTTCATCATCATTGCAGGTCTGTGAGGCTGGAGGCAGGATCTCCCATCTGTCACCTTCCTTTCTTCCCAGCAGTGAGAAAATAGGACAACAGCAACAGCAGCCACAGTGGCTGAGACTTACTAAGTACAATTATCCCTCCCACTGCTATGGTTGAATATAGGTGTCTCCCCAAATTCACATGTTGGAATGTATTAGTATTAAAAAATGGGGTCTTCAGGGATAATGAGGTGATGAGGGCAGAGTCTCATGAATATGATTAGTGCCCTTATAAAAGAGGTTTGTTTGAGCCAGGTGCAATGGCTTATGCCTGTAATCCCACCACTTGGGGAGGCTGAGGTAGGAAGATCCCCTGAGCCCAGGAGTTTGAGACCAGCCTGGGCAACATAGTGAGAACCCATCTCTACAAAAAATTAAAGAATTAACCAGGCATGGTGGCATGCACCTGTAGTCCCAGCTACTGAAGGTGGTGAGCGAGGCTGAGGCTAGAAGATTGCATGAGCCTGGGCCATGATCATGCCACTTCACTACAGCCTAGGTGACAGAGCAAAAAGAAAGAAAAGGGTTTGAGGGAGCCTGTTTGTCCCTTCCACCAGGTGGGGACGTAGAGAAGAAACCATCTATGAAGAAGCAAGCCCTTACCAGACATTGAATCTGCTGGCACCTTGATCTTGGATTTTCCAGCCTACAGACCTGTGAGCAATAAATTTCTACTATTTGTAAATTACCCAGTCTAAGACATTTTTGTTGTAGCAGCCTGAATGGACTGAGACACCAGTAGGAAAAATAAAAAATGAACACAGCAATAGAAAGTAGAAAAATAACTAACCAATTTAAGATAGATACTCAGCCTCCCTAATAGCCATATAAATTTGTATTTAAATTAATGTTTCATCAGATTAACAGGAGATTGATCTTTTGCAGAATTAATGAAGATAATTAAAAATAGATATTCTCGGCCAGGTGTGGTTGCTCATGCCTGTAACTCCAGTACCTTGGGAGGCTGAGACAGGTGGATCACTTGAGGTCAGGAATGTGAGACCAGCCTGGCCAACATGGCATAACCCTGTCTCTACTAAAAAAAAAAAGAAAACAAAAATTGGCTGTGCATGGTAGCAGGTACCTGTAATCCCAGCTACTCAGGAGGCTGAGGCAGGAGAATCGCCTGAACCCAGGAGGCAGAGGTTTCAGTGAGCCGAGATTGTACCACTGCACTCCAGTGTGGGTGACAGAGTGAGACCCTGTCTCAAAAAAAACAAAAGCAAAACAAAAAAACAATAAAAATAGATATTCTCATATGTTTTTGGCAGGATTCTAAACTGGTACAATGTTTTAGGAGCGCAATTTGGAATGTCTGTCAATATGTTAACATGTACACCTTTGACACAACTCTACTCTTAGGAATCAGTCTAATGGAAATATCTAATCAACTATGATCATATCGATATCTATATATATGGATACAGATAGATGCCTATATATCTATATGTAGAGATAGATACATATATAATCACATATGTATTTTATCATCAGAAAATCGATGAGAATAATAATTTTATAATCAGAAAAGAAATAGCCTTTTAAACAGCTCTGATATGTAACAAGCTTAGAACCATTATTAATAAAGAAATTATAGAAGACACTGTCAATGTCCTGCCCCTCTCTCCTAGGCCCACCATGCAGGTTGACCAGTTCTCTCCTTAAGTGCCCACTCTCTCTGCCTGGGAGCTTTCTCCAGTATGGCAAGATCAGGCCCAATCCTGAAGAGTTGAAGATTTAACATCCCCAGGGCCGTCATCAACAAAAGAGGTGTGGGAATCAGTGAAATAATTGCCCCATCTTTCCCACTCAGCAGTGAGACAATTCTGAAACATATCCTACACAGTCACTCAGAGGGTACCCAAGAGGATGGAGCTCCAGTTGCACACAGCAGTAACCCTCTATTGAACACACTTGCTGGTTTTCTGGTATCCTCAGTTCACTCTTCCTGTCCCTCACTCCTCCTCCTTGGAATCATCTGCCAGATAAACTCCCTGCACCTTAGTCCTTGTCTCAGGGTCATCTTTAGAGGGACCCAAACTAAGGCAATATCAACTTCTTTCCTAAACCATGAGCCATCTGTTTGGTAGGACCCCTACCTAGCCTGTGACTCACTCACTCAGTGTATTATGTGGCTGTGGGGTTTGTGACAAGAAACAGAGTAGAAGGATAGATGTTTCCATTAACAAGATCACAGTCAAGAACACTCATGGTCTTTTTAAAATCTTCAACCTGCTACAAAACGTTTCTTAATGATCAAGGTCATTAAATACTCTCCCAAATGTCAGATCCCAGTTCGGCCCGTAACCACCCCCTACACCACCACCAAGTCAACAAATATTTATTGAGCACCTACTATATCCTGAGCATGCTCTGAAGATACAGAACTAAATAAGACAGATAAGATACACTTCGTGGTGATTACAGACTAGCAAGAAAGACAGAAATAAATAATCCTGCCAAAAAATTAATTGCACACATGCAAAGCTACCAAAGAGATTTGCAAGTTTCTATGGGGTCTAAACCTACCTAGAAAAAATAAGTTTTAAGATAAGACCTGAATGATAAATAGGAGCTAGCCAGATAAGGAGTGGGAGACCAGCATTTCAAGCAGGTGATACAGCTTGTATGAGAATCCTTGGGCAGAAAGAGCACATAGCAGAGGCAGTTAACTGCCCATCAAAATCTATGCTCCTCCTTCTAAAGCATTCCATTGTTCCTGGGAATGTATGTCCCTGGGACCAATTACTGCCAACGCATGTGTGTGGAAGTGATGGTGTCACTTCTGGGTCAAAGTGTGGCTCCCCCATCTCTCTGCTGCTGGCTGGATGACGCTCTCCAAAGTTCTAAGGGATGGCAGAGCCATAAGAGAGGGGGAGCCTGGGATCCTGAATCCCCCCCAAGAAAGAAAGATACCCATGGACCAGGTGCATTTATAGGATAATTAATTTTATGTGTTAACTTGACTGGGTTAAAGGATACCCAGATAGCTAGTAAAAACATTATTTCTGGGCATGTGGTGAGAATATTTTCAGAAGAGATTAGCATTTGAATCAGTAGACTGAGTAAAGAAGGTCAGCCTCACCAATGTAGGTAGGCATCATCCAAGAACAGAAAAAAAAAAAAAAAAGAAAGAAAGAAAAAAGACAAATTCGCTCTCTTCTGGAGCTGGGACATTTATCTTCTCCTGCCCTTAAACATCAGAACTCCAGGTTCTCAGCTCTTCAGTCTTCAACCCGGCTTCCCTGGTTCTCCATGTCACAGACAGCATATCATGGAACTTCTTGGCCTCCAGAATCACATAAACCAGTTCCCATAATAAATCCCCTCTTATATATCTATATATACACTATCAGTTCTGTTTCTCTGAAGAATCTTGATTAATACAACCTACATTCACCTGAACAAGAAAAAGAAACTAATGTGTTAAGACACTGAAACTTACAGGCTTATTTGTTGCAGCAGCTGGTCTTGTCCCGACTAATCCAAACACCATTTGTGGAACCAAGGGGCAAAAAGAATGAGAGAGAAAGTGTAGCAAGATGTCAAGGTCTAGAGTTTCTAAAGCTTTGCAAGCCATGCTAAAAAATGTCGATATTTATCCTGGCAGCAAAGGGAAGCTGTTCTTTAAAAGTTCTAATTGAGAGAGAAGCACCAACAGATTTGTGTTTTTAAAATGTCACTTTTATCTGCTTGCCCAAGTCAGCTTTGATTGTTGCTGGATTGGTGGAATGTCAGAGGATTTCATTTTTATCTCATTCTTTGGATCTTTCTGAACTGCTTAAATATCTCATGATTAATATATTTCACTTTAAGCCCCCCCTCAAAAAAGTCATTATTCACTAAAATGAAAATTAACATAATTCCTGTAATGTGGACACTACTATCCGTAATGTAGACAGTGAGATGGAAAAGGCAGTTAGGAGGTTATTGAAGCATTCGGGAAGAGATGGTGGTGGCTTACAGTAGAAACACAGCCAGTCTCATATTACTCTCCTGCCTAAACCTCTCAGTGTAGAGTCCCAGGCTTATGTCCAGAAGAGTGGACAGAAGAATCCATTAGAAGCCACTAAGAGGTTTAGGCAGGAGAGTAATATTAAAGCAATCCGATGTGTGTGTTTCAGCTTCTTGGCTGCTGGGTGAGAATGGGTTGCAGACCTGCAGGGGCACATCTGAAGCAGAGATGCAGGGGGAAGGCCACAAAGGGCAGTCAGGCCTGGAGAGGGAGGAACTCTTCAGAAGGCGGATGATTGGAAGTGAGAAGCGGGCAGCAGAGAGGTGGCAGCAAGGATCATACAGGGGATTCTGGCTTGGCCATTGGGGAGGTGGAGGTGTTGTTTACCAAGATGCAGAGCCCCAGAGCAGGAAGGGTTTTGTGAAGGAAGATGCTCAGTTAGGGACGCAGTGGGCCAGAGTAGGCAGAGAGGAATCCAGCAGAGCCTCTTTCTCCTCTCCTTCATAGGGACAGGCACTTCAAACCTTAGAACCAAATAACGGTTTGGGAGCAATGCGAGAAGAAGAAGCAAGGAAGAGGGGATTGGAGAAGAAGAAAGAGGGGGAGGAAGACAGAGGAGAAGAAGAGGAAGGGAAGAGAAAGAAAAGGAGAAAGAAGAGAAGGAGGAGGAGAAGGAAGCAAAATTGGAAGCTATCAGCATTAAAAATGATGGTGCAGGATGCTAACTGAACCAGGGAAAGAGATGAATGTTGTGGGAGACAGGCAAAATTGATCAAGAGAAAAAGGAGGGCTATGCATGTCCTGAGTCTGATGTTTAGGTCTTAACAAGGTTTATGTCTTCTTTGGGTAACCAGAAGTCCTGTGGGGTAGAGGAGGGAGGAGATAGGAATGGGCAGGGCCAGTGGAGTAACTAGAGAGGTGGTGGGATGGGAATGGTAGGTACAGAGATGCTGGGGCCAGACTGCCTGGGTTCAAATGCCAGCTCTACTGCTTTCAAGCTGTGTGACCTTGGGCAGGTAACTTGACTTCTCCGGGCCTCAGTTTCCTCATCTATTAAATGGGAGTGGTAACGATATACCTCATTCCCAGGGTGGTTGGAACATGCTAAGTGTCTGGCACATGGCAAGTGCTCAGTGAATGTCCACAGAGCAAATGAATAAACTGCAGCTGCCACTGCTATTTATAGCAAAGGAGCACTTTTTACAATCACCTAAATGTCGTAGGAGGAAATTTTCCACCCTGTAATCGCAGTGATCTTTTGGGACCCAAAGCCAGTTATATTATTCAACCACATAAAACTCTCCAATTAAAAATTAAATCCCAACTTCTTCCTGCAGCCTTGAGGTCTTGCACAATCCAGCCCTGCTCACCGCTCCAGGCTCAGCATATACCACTCGCCCCTCATTCACATCACTGCATCCCCATAGCCTTTTCTGCCCCCATTCCTTGATTCCCCACCTAGGTCTTTGCACATGCTGTGCCCCTGCCTGGAACATACTTCCCTCTGCTCTTCCCAAGCCTGGTTACCCATTGTCCTGCACATCTCGGCTAAAATGCCCCATCTCAGGTTTCCCTGACAGCCCTGTCCAAAGCCGGCCACTCACTGTCAGTCTGTGTCAAACCCTCTTCCTCTTTCCTTCAAGACACTCAGCACATTCATCATTGCTTACTTGTTTGTTCCCATGGGTTTTGCCCACCTCTCCACCCCCACTAGCCTGTGAGCTTCCTGAGAGCAGACCATGAGTTTTGCCCTCACCCTTGTATGACAAACCCCTGGCACAGCCTCATTAAAAGTCTGGTAAGTAGGCCGGGTGTGGTGGCTCATGCCTGTAATCCTAGCACTTTGGGAGGCCAGGACGGGAGGATCACTTGAGGTTAGGAGCTCAAGACCAGCCTAGACAAAATGGTGAAACCCCATTTATACTAAAAATATGAAAATTAGCCGGGCGTGGTGGTGCACGCCTGTAATCCCAACTACTCAGGAGGTTGAGGCAGGAGAACTGCTTAAATCCGGGAGGTGGAGGTTGCAGTGAGCCAAGATTGCGCCACGGCACTCCAGACCGGGGGACAGAGTGAGTGAGAGTCTACGGTGGCTCAAGCCTGTAATCCCAGCATTTTGGGAGGCTGAGGCAGGAGGATCATGAAGTCAGGAGATTGAGACCATCCTGACTAACATGGTGAAACCCCATCTCTACTAAAAATACAAAAAATTAGCTGGGCCTCGTGGCATGCGCCTGTAGTCTCAGCTACTCGGGAGGCTGAGGCAGAAGAATCACTTGAACCCAGGAGGCAGAGGTTGCAGTGAGCCGAGACTGCGCCACTGCACTCCAGCCTGGGCAACAGAATGAGACTCCGTCTCAAAAAAAAAAAAGTGTGGTAAGTAAAGGAACTCCAGAGATCCTCTCACCTTCACATGGCTTCCCACAAACTCTGTCTTCCAGGAGAGAACAGACACACAGGGCGAGTGTGTTCCAGCCTGCAGTGGGGGGCAGGTTGGTCCATGGAAATGAAGTTGGCATTCTGATGTTTGCAAAAAGAGAAAAATGGAAGTGGAGTGGCTTGTAGCCCAAGGATAGAGACAGAAAGGACAAAGAAAAACAGAAGAAAAATATTAGAGCACCCGGAACACAGACCCCTTCTCACAGGCTCCAGGGCTCTATCTAATCTGTCACGCAGAATTGCAATTCTTAGTTTTCTGGTCTGCTTCCCCAGTAGACTGTGAGTTATATAGGAAGACATATGACAATGCTATGACGATGCTGTGTCCCGTCCCCATCTCCTCTGAGCGCCACACCTGACATGGAGTCAGCACCCAATATTATTTGTTGAAAGGCTGTTAAATCCTGCGTCAGGTTTCTTCCCTACTTCCAGCCTGTTCTGCAAAACAGGTGAAAACAACTGGCTACTTCCAGACCATTATAGATTTTAACAGGAGATGAGTCCAAGCAGGAATAAATAAATGTTTTTCCTGATAGAAAACCCTCCGTGGCATTGATTTTCTTGGTGTTGTCAATATGACTGCATTTGTTTCGTTACCTCTGCTTTTAAACACAGACTGAACAAAGACCCTAGATATTCAAGGCCGATCAAGTTTCAGATATCCTTTCCTCTTGTCCTCATAACTGCCCTTGTGTTTGTTTGTTTCTTCTTTCTTTCTTTCCCTTCCTTCCTTCCTTTCCTTCCTTCCTTCCTTCCTTCCTTCTTTCTTTCTTTCTCTCTCTCTCTCTTTCTTTCTTTCTTTCTTTCTTTCTTTCTTTCTTTCTTTCTTTCTTTCTTTCTTTCTTTCTTTCTTTCTTTCGACAGGGTCTTGCTCTGTTGCCCAGGCTGCTTTCTTTCGACAGGGTCTTGCTCTGTTGCCCAGGCTGGAGTGCAGTGGTGCAATCTCAGCTCACTGCAACCTCCGCCTTCCAGGTTCAAGTGATTCTCCTGCCTCAGCCTCCTGAGTAGCTGGGACTACAGGCATGCACCACCATGCCTGGCTAATGTTTGTATTTTTACTAATAGTAGAGACAGGGTTTCACCATGTTGGCCAGGCTAGTCTCGAACTCCTGGCCTCAAGTGATCCACCCACCTTGGCCTCCCAAAGTGCTGGGATTACAGGCATGCACCACCACGCCTGGCCTGCCCTTGTATTTCTAATCTCTGGTTCTAGGTTCTGGATTAAGAAAAACTCAAGTACAGACTTTGTCACCTGGAGAGAAAAACTCATTCTAGAGTTTGCTGAATTAATCACAAGGATAATGGCTGCCGAGGCTAGCTGCTTTGCCGTGTGCCAAGCTCTGGGCTGTGTGCCTTGCAAGCATCATATACTTTTTAAGCCAGGATTCTGTGAGGTGGGGATTCATTTTGTTTCCATTTTACAGAAGAGGAAACTGAGGCTTAGGTTGTCAAACAACCTATTCGAGGTCATCCAGGTAGAACATTACAGGCTCGCAGGGTGGGGTGGCTCACAACTGTAATCCCAGCACTTTAGGAGGCTGAGGCGGGTGGATCATTTGATGCCAGGAGACAGAGCAAGACCCTAACTCTAAAAAAGAGAAAGAGGGAAGGAAGGAAGGAAGGAAGGAAGGAAGGAAGGAAGGAAGGAAGGAAGGAAGGAAGGAAGGAAGGAAGGAGGGAAGGAGGGAGGGAGGGAGGGAGGGAGGGAGGGAGGAAGGGAAGGAGGGAGGGAGGGAGGGAGGAAGGGAAGGAGGGAGGGAAAATGACAGGCTCCACACCTATGTGCTGCGAAAGCTCAAGCTCTTGACACTGGGTCCCATGGTACTTGTTTTATTTTTGTTTTCACCATTACCCTTGATGAGAGCTGGGTCCTGTTTGCCGCACTTGTAAGCAAGGCCTGTTCCACAAGAGGGCTTTGATGTGTCAGCCTCCAAAAACCATGGGGTTCCTTTGCTGGGTGTAATTTTTTTTCCAGTTGCTCAACTTCTTGGGCTCTTCACCAGAGAGGAACTATCTTTTTACAGATCCATAAAGAAGCTCTATCAAAAATCAACACAGAAAACATCACTCTGCAGCCAGCGGTAATTCCTGAACCGGAGAACCTCACACAGGAGAAATCCAAAAAATACAGGCTAGCCAGAGTGTGTTTATCGTTAGCAAGGCAGAAAAGCTACCTTGCCCCTCATTCTTCCTCAACCTTCCTCCCTAATATTGTCATTTAATCTCCAGCTGCTTCTCTTTCTGTCCAGCCCAGCCTCCAAGAAGAGCTCACAGGAATGCCAGGATGTCTCTCTGCATATGCACAGAGCAAGGCATTTTTCCAGCTGTCATTAGCACTGCCTACGGTGTGCTCTAAGAGGGAGACGGGCCTGGCATTCTCCAAGCCATTAGAGTACCTGAATAATTTACTACTCTCAGCAAAAGGGCCCTTTCCCTGCACAATTTCCTCCCACCTCTTCAGGTTTCCTCCAGAGAGCTCCTGGGAGCCGACAAAAGGGAATGAAGTGGCATTTTAAAGGAAGGCCTAGTCGCTCTCTTATTGGCATCTAAAGTTATTATCTGGGGCCAGAATCCAATTTTGAAATCAAGTAAAGTCACACCAAGATTGCAGTTTTCTTTGTGAGTTTAACCCTGCTGGGGAGAAAAGCAGAGAAGAGACTTGGTGAGAAAGCCCAAGGCAGCTTTGATGAGCAGATTCGGCCAAGAGCCCTTGCACCCAAGTGTTGGTGGCTGGTAGGGAACCTCAGAAATGAGCACACAGCCTGGGTGACATTGTAAGGCAAGACAGTGGGAAAGTAAATCTGATGCATGGTATGCATCCTGTTAACATCTGTCCCAGCCTGGGACCCCTGTCTACCCTCAGAGGACATCCTGCCTCCCTCCTCTCGGTGTTGCCTGGGCTCCTTTGCTAACTGGCTTCAGGTCCATTCTGCCAACGGGAGGCCCACGTAGAGATCAGAGGGCACAAGGAAGGGAGAAGCCAGGATATTTCTCCCCAGTCTGGGCCGCAGACAGATTTCCTCACAGGAGTTGCATCTCCTCTGTGGCTCCAGCTCCTGCCAGGCAGGACTGCCCAGGCTCCAGCTTCCACCAGGAGATCTCAGCTCCTGAACTCTACCTTCCTTTCTCTGTCCCACAAGCCTCAGGGAGTGACAGCTTTCTGCCATGGCTGGATCTCTGATTTCATCATCACCCCCTATTTAAACAGTTCCTGCATTTACATCTCTCTGTCTTAAAAACTCAGTGTCATTTCTATTTTCCTGATAGGACCCTCACTGATAGAACCACCAGAACTGGCTCATATGACCCTGAAAATATCCAATTTTTAAGAATGCAATTTTGCACAGACAGCAACATATACCTGCACCAAAATTTCAGCCCTTCAGATACAACCAGAGTCATAAAGCAAGGCCTCCCAGGGGTCAAGGATCCCTCAAAAAACCTTCCCAAACAAACTTTTGCCCTCTTTGGAGTAATAAAGCAAAGCAAAAATAAAAGAATGCGCTTTTGAATCAAACCAACTTGTGTTAAACCCAGGCTTTGCCTTCTACGAGAAGGAGGACCTTGAGCAGGTCATTTAAGCCTCTTATGTCTCAGTTTTCTCACCTGCAAGATGAGGAGAATCATCTCTATATTTATATGGTTGTCTGGCCAAATAGAGCACCGTTGCTGGTACCCAGTTAATGGTTCCATTAATGTTGGATTCCTGGACCTGAGTAAAGTCTACAGTCACCGCAAATACCTTCCGAGAGTGGCAAGTCAGCCTCTAGCACTTGTTCTAGCATTTTTGGTCCTTTGTGAACCTCCAAGAGATGTGAAAGAGTGTTCTCAGTATCAGAAAAACCATGATGCCTCCTGAGAAAATGCTAGGGATAAGTCATCAGAGAAATACAAAACAACAACAACAAAAAAAACTCTTTCCTTTAGCAGGGAAGCAGCAAGTTCTTGTATCAAATAATAAAACTTTAGACACATGAAACCTGCCTGGTTTTAGCTTTGACAGAGATGAAAGAAAGAGGGATTTGGTTAAAATGCTTCTGCAAAGGCTGCCTGTTTGGAGCGGGGAGAGATTGCTACTGTTTTACAGGTTTGGAAGCTGCCCCAGGGACCTTATCGTCAGAATCCTTTAGTCTACAGCTACTGTGACAAACTGAAAAGCCAGTCCTGACTTTCTCTTGTGATGTTTAAAATAAACCAAGGGAGTAAAGCCCCTGAGAGAGAATGTGGATTTTTTTCCCCCAAATAAACCCCTGCTTATAACTTTCTATTGCCCATCAGATAAGGGATTATCCTGCTGCTTTTGTGCCTCTGTTGCACGGGCTTCTGAAATAAAAACTCGGATATCTGATCTACAGGCATGTGGGATGAAAACACTCTTATCCTGATATCTTGATGGATCCCTGGAGCAGGGTCACAGATAACAAATCTATGCACTGTCTACCTCTGGATGCTGGGGAGGAGGTAGCCTGGGAGGCTACCTCAAAACAATCCCTCTCTCCTCTGTGTCAGGGGTCCCTTTAGGTAAAAATAAAGTCATAAGGTGGCAGAGCCCAAACCGCCTCCACTCAGAGCTGTTGCAAATCCAACAAAAGAGGTCCAGCATTATCAGATACCTATGTGTGCCATGTGATGCCCACTGCAGCAAAATCCACTAATTGTACAAGAGGTCGTAGTGACTTGGGGGTGAGGGTGGCACACGAAGCCAGAAGGCTTGGCATGCATCTCAGAGGCTCCTCTTTGTCCCTCCTCAGTCGTTAGGCAGCCTCTTGCCGCTCTGAGTCTCTGAGCCTTCATTTTCTCAGTTGCTATATAAAAATGCCAGCCTGAGCAACACAGCAAGACCCCATCTCTACAAAAAATTGAAAAATTAGCCAAGTGCGGTGGCACACACTTGTAATCCCAGCTACTCAGGAGGCTGAGGCAGGAGCATTGCTTGTGACCAGGAGTTTGAGGCTACAGTGAGCTATGATCGTGCCACTGCACTCCAGCCTGGGTGACAAACAGAGACCCTGTCTCAAAAAAATTAAAAAATAGGCTGAGTGCTGTGCCTCACACCTGTAATTCCAGCACTTTGGAAGGCTGAGGTGGGAGGATCGCTTGAAACCAGGAGTTTAAGACCAGTCTGGACAACATAACAAGAATCCATCTCAATATTGCATGTTCTCACTTATTTGTGGGAACTAACAATCAAAACAATTAAACTCATGGAGATAGAGAATAGACAGATTGTTACCAGAGGCTGGGAAGGGTAGTGGGGGGCTGTGTGGGGAGGGAAGTAGGGATGGTTAATGGGTACAAAAAAAAATAGAAAGAATGAGTAAGACCTACGATTTGATAGCACAAGAGGGTGACTATAGTCAATAATAACTTAACTGTACATTTTAAAACAAAGAGTGTGATTGGATTGTTTGTAACTCAAAGGATAAATGCTTGAAGGGATGAATATCCCATTCTCCATGATATGTTTATTTCACATTGCATGCCTGTATCAAAACATCTCATGTACCCCATAAATATACACACCTACTATGTACCCACGGATTTTTTTTTTTTAGTTTTTAAAAAAGAACCCATCTCTACAAAAATTTTAAAAATTAGCCAGGGATGGTGGCATGCACCTGTAGTCCCAGCTACTCCAGAGGCTGAGGCAGGAGGATCACTTGAGCTGAGGAGTTTGAGGTTACAGTGAACCATGTTCATGCCACTGTATACCAGCCGAGGCAACAGAGCAAGACCCTACCTCTAAAAAATAAAATAAATAGATAAATGTAAAGTAAAAAGGGAAATGATGATACTCCTAACAAGAATGATAATCCATGGCCCACCTCCCTCACAGCATTACTGTGAGTTGAGGCTCAAAGGAGAGAACAACAAAGTGTTTGGTGATAATAATTCTTTAATTTTATCGCCCGAGATTGGTTCTTCCAGAAGAATACAAGGTGTTTATTTGGAAGGGGTTTCCAGGAAGCACCTGGAGAGGATGGGAAATGAGACAGAGAGGGAAGAAAGCCAGGAAATGGTGGACATAATGAGCTGTGGGTGCCTTCAGTGAACTCCTGCTGGGAAACTCAAGGACCTGGTGTAGGACATACCTCAAAGAAATCACAAGCAGGGGGAAGGTAAGTTGGTTATTAACTCCCCATCAGTATTGAGGGCTGACTTGGGGTCTGGATGCCTTGACACTTCTGGCTGACCTGATGCACAGGCAACCGTAGGGACTCTGGGAGCCAAAGTAGACCATGCACCTGCGCTGGGAGGCCTAGGACTGCAAGGTCTCTTCGGAAGCGAGACTTTCAGCCCTAAAATGGGACAGTCCTGGGCACAACAGGAGGGCTGGTCGCCCGAGATGTAATCTGTCTGACGGCTACTTCCAGGGACATTAACTATGTGGCACTTTCACCTTACCCTAAGGACAAGTGAGCATGCCCCCAGGACCAGACTGAAGCCCACAGGGAGGACAGCCTTCAGCGTGCAGAGGTGAGTGCTAGGAGGCCATAGGGAGAGCACCAAGGCACCTGCAGCTGTGTGCCATGAGCCAAGTGCTATGCTGAGTCCTTTCCATGGTGTGTCACGTCATCTCACCATAACCCTGTGAAATGACATAGCTCAGAGAACTGCACAGTGAGTCACCAGCAAAACTGGTATCAAAGCCTGTGATGGCTAGGCCATGGTGCCCAGTTGTTTGGTCAAATACCAGTCTAGATGTTGCTGTGGAACCATTTGTTTTAGATGTGATCAACAATTAAATCAGAAGACTTAGGGTAAAGCTGATTACCCTCTGTAATGTGGGTGAGCCCCATCTAATCAGCTGAAGGCCTTAAGAGCGAAGATGGAGGTCCCCCAAAGAAGAAGAAATTCTTCCTCCAGATTGCAAGGTAGAAATGTGGCCTGAGTTTCCAGCTTTCAGACTCAAGACTGCCACATCAACTCTTGCCTGAATCTCCAACCTGCCTGTCTGCCTGCCCTGCAGATTTGACACTTGCCAACCCCTACAGTTGTATGAGCCAGTTCATTAAAATCTCAATCTCAATCTCTCTCATATATATATATATAAATATATATATATTTAAGTCACTAAATTTTAGGCAAGTCAAAAAATCATTAGCTAAATAAATAGTTGTTGTCTTAAGCCACTACATTTTGGACATACATACATACATATATATGTATGTATGTGTGTGTATATATATCCTATTGGGGTGTGTGTGTGTGTGTGTGTGTAGATAGATAGATAGATAGATCCTATTGGTTCTGTTTTTCTGGAGAACGCTGACTAATACAAAGCCCCAGTCTGTTGGCCTCCAGAGGCTACTCATGTACTCTCTGCTACTCTGTAATTTGTAAGCTGAATAGTGCCTCTAATTCCCATGCTGCAGGTCTGGTCTTTAGCTCATTGACTGGCAATTATTCATAAAGCTCTGGTCTGCCTGGGGAAATTACAATAGGGAACATAGGCCTTGTCCCTCAATATCCATTCTTCCCTTCTTCCTTTAGTAATAAATTCCTTGAATTTTACCTGGGCACAAAGCCACCCGAACTAGCTGTAGCTAGCTGTAGCCATGAGAATTTCTGACTGATGAGATGTGAACAGAAGTAATGTGTGCAATTTCTGGGGCAGTTATTTTAAAGGGAAGAGGTATGCCTCCATTTCCCCTTCCTTCTTTCTTACTGGAATGTAGATGTGATGGCAGGAACTGGAATAGCCATTTTAGACCATGAAATGATAGCCACGAGCTGAGGATGGCAAAGCAACCAAGTAGAAGGTGCCTGGAATCCTGGTGATTGGGAAATTACCACGCTAATCCTGGACTGCTTTCCAAGACTCTCACTGAGAAAGAAATAATCTTTTATCTCATTTTGGGTCTCCTGATAACAGCCAAATCTGTATCTAATTAATATGAAGAGGCCAGAGTAGGAACTGGCCCCTGCCAAGTGCTTTCATGTTCATTTTTCAAAGTCAGACACAATCACCCACTACCTTTTAAATCTAATCATTAAAGTAAATGGCTCATGGCTGGTGGCTCAGAAATCTGAACAATATCTTAATGTCAAGATTTTTTTTTTTAACAACTAAACTTGGGCATCTCCCCCCTGTGGTTGATTAATTGCATTCATGGTCCTAGTTAATGTTCTCCCTATATGCACGCCCTTTGCAACACGATTTTGCAGATCCTCACATCAACAGGTGAGGTTTGTTTTCCCACCCCTTAAATCTGGGCTGGCCTCGTGTCTTGTTTTGGCCACTGAAGTGTCATGAAAGTGATGGTGTGCAACCCCAAACCTGTGCCTCAAGAGACTTTGTGTGCTTTTGTTCTCTCTTGAGAACTGTCACTGAGAACAAGCTTGAAATAGATGGTAAACACTGCGTGAAGCAGATATAACTCATCCCAGCCAAAATCATCCTATATCACCTAGCCCCCAGCTGACTAAGACAGATGAGACCCAGCCAAGACCAGGTAAGCCCAGCCCAGACCTAAAGGACAACCCATTGTTCAATCCAGCTTAAATCTGTAACTCACAAAATCATGAACTAAATAAATGGTTGTTGTCTTAAGACTTTGGGTGGTCTGCTACATAGTAATAGCTAACTAGTAATAGTTAACTAATATATATACCCTCTTATTTTGTGTGCTATTCAAGAGATCAGTAGAAAAGAGCTCCAAGGCAGAACTCCTGAGGTCAGGAGTTCGAGACCAGCCTGGCCAAAATGTTGAAATCCCATCTCTAATAAAAATACAGAAATTAGCTGAGCATGGTGGTGCACACCTGTAATCCCAGCAACTTGGGAGGTGGAGGCACAAGAATCACTTGAACCCAGGAAACAGAGGTTGCAGTGAGCCGAGATTGCACCACTGCACTCCAGCCTGGGCGACAAGGCGAGACTCCATCTCAGAGAAAAAACAAAGAAGCAAAGAGCTGAAAGCTTTTGGCTTCCTATAAGTGGATGAGTAAATGGATATCGCCTCTTAAGAAGGTTTTTGGCAATGTCTAACATTTTAAATACACACATTCTTTAATCCATCAATACTATTTCTGAAAATAAATTCTACAGAAATAGTTGTGCATGTACTGAAAAATATATATCAAACATGGACACTATAACATTGTTTATAGTAACAAAACATTGGGAAAAATCCACATATCCATCAATTGGAGACTGATTAAATAAATTATGCTATAATATCCAGCAAAGAGGAAGTATCAATTGCTGTTGTAGTCATTTTCATTAACACATTTGAAAAAAATTATGCTATAGCCATACAATAGAATATTATGGCCACAAAAAAGAAAGAATGAGTAGACCCTTAAGTGCTACAAGAAAAACGTACAAGATATATTAGCAAAGAAAACAAGTAGCTGAACAATCTACACAGTATGATCTCATTTATGTAAATCATGAATGTTGATCACATGTGTGTATGCTCTAGAAAATATGTTTATAAAAACATTTTAAAAATCTGAAAGTAGGCCAAGAAAACTCCTAATAGTGATTGGCTTTGTGGATTGTGAGAGGGTGAGAGAATTCTTTCACTTTTTACTCTATTTCCTTGCGATGTGGGTTAATTTATGAAAATGTGTATTATCTTTGTAATTAAATAAAACAATCATGGGGAAACTTTTAAGCATTCATGGCCACAATGAGCAGATGACAGTGTATTGATCAGGCTTTTTGGCCAACATTTCTTTGAACTCAAGTCAGCTTTATTATTTTTAAACTAATTATTATGGGCACATGATCATTGTATATATTTATGGAGTATATGTGATGTTTTGATACAAGTTTACAACATGGAATGATCAAATTAGGATAATTGAGGTATCTATCACAAGCCACCTTTACTCCTAATTGTCATTTTCAGGACCACTGCTAGTTCATACGGCCCTTTGTGCAAATTAAGAAAAGGAGCTCTTCCTCCAGCCCTGCCTCCTGTGGTAAACGGAGTTTGGGCTGGACTTCATTCCCAATGACCTCTTACTCTTGAGCAGTGAGCAACCTACACAACCTTACCCAGCAACTCTGGTTATCATTGATGTATTGCTGTCTGGTGGATTTAGATGGGAATTGAAATAGAAGAAAGAGAAGGAGTCTTATTCATTTTCATTGCTCATGAAGCTGTAGGGGAGACAAATGTCTGCATGTAAATCCATGTTGGTATTCTATTCTGAACCCAAAAAATAAAAGCCATGAGGAGTTCTGAGGATGTCGAATCAGGGCAGCATTGAGGATGCTGCACTGCTAATTCATTCTCTGTCCACTTACTTTTTTTTTTTAACTTTAAGTCTGGAATACATATGCTGAACATGTAGGTTTGTTACATAGGTATACATGTGCCATGGTGGTTTGTTGCACCTATTAACCCATCATCTAGGTTTTAAGCCCCATGTGCATTAGGTATTTGTCCTAATTCTCTCCCTCCCCTTGCCCCCACCACCCGACAGGCCTGGTGTTTGATGTTCCCCTCCCTGTGTCCATGTGTTCTCATTGTTCAACTCCCTCTTATGAGTGAGAACATGTGGTGTTTGGTTTTCTGTTCCTGTGTTAGTTTGCTGAGAATGATGGCTTCCAGCTTCATCCATGTCCCTGCAAAGGACATGAACTCATTTTTTTAAGGCTGCATGCTATTCCATGGTGTATATGTGCCACATTTTATTTACCCAGTTTATCATTGATGCCATTTACTTTTTAAAATGAACCAGAGGGAAACTCAGTTTACAGAGAAAAATTGGAAGGTTGCTGACTTTTCCCAAAGCATCACTGGTCGCTCTAAGAGCTCTTTATAGATCATTATCTACCTGTTCAAGATGAACAATCTTAAAGAAATTTGATTTATTTATTTCATAAACATTTTGGGGGGCCACCTGTAGGACAGGCATTGTGCTGGGTGCAGGGGATGAATGGTGAGTAAGATAAATATGATCCCTGCCACCATGGATCTTACAGCTTGGCCATGAAGAGATAGATCAATTAAATAATCACACGAATGTATAATTACAATATGCAGTGGGGCTATGAATGAAGCCATGGAAGTGTATAACATGGGGGTGATCTTGTCTAGGGAAGTCAGAGAAGACTTCCTGGAGGAAGAGACATTTGATCTGAAGTCTGAAGAACATAGTGGGCTTAACTAGGTCAAAACAGAAGGGGAGAACTTGCCATCCATTCATTCAACATTTTATTAGTTCCTTCTCAGGCCATCCACTGTTCCAATGGGGAGCAAGAGATCAGATGAAGCAGGAGAATGAGGTCAAGATATTTGTCCCCAACTCTTTCTTTGCAAAGTTGCCTCAGGATGGCTGTGTCTCCTGACTTCAGTGATCCTCCAAGGTGGCCTGCTCTAAACAATTCTCTCCTTCTGTGTTCCAGTAATTTCTCTCTCTCTCTCTCTCTCTCTCTCTCTCTCTCTCTCTCTCTCTCTCTCTCTCTCTCTTTATTCATCTCTGCCCATGAATGGTGATAGCTCTTTTGCTTCTAGCCCTGGGTCCCTGCACTGTCCCTAGGTGTTCTCTTCATTCACATCTTTTTAATCAGTCCCTTTATATATAACTTGTCCTTAAATTATCCTGATTTCAGTGTGCCATATTTCCCATTGGGACCCTGACTTATATAGAAAAAAAAATCACAAATTACTCCTGCATTTTCTGCCTGAGCAATTAGGTGGAGAGTCATACCATTTGCCAAGATGAACACTTGGAGAAAAAAGGGTCCAGGGTGGGAGGAAGAATTAAAGGCAACTTTTGACATATTATTTGAGCTTCCTAATGAACATTTAAGTGAAGATGTGAGTATATATATAATTCCTAGGTATATATACCATTTGGCACCACAGGGTAGAAGTTGGGGCTAGAGATATGTATCTGGGAGTTGCCTGCACATCCATAGCATTTAAAACCTTAAGACTGAATGAGATTACCTAGAAAGGAAGAGAGATAAAGCAGAGAAAAATAACATGCACACAGGTCCTGCAGCAGAAGAGGTGAGGCACTCTGCTTTTAAGGAACTTGGAAAAAGCCTTTGTGGCTGGAGCAGAGAACCAGAGAGTGGCTTGAGATGAGGCTGCAGAGGTGAAGTAAGGTCCCCATGGTGAGGATTCAGGTCTTTATTTTAAGAGCCTTGGAAGCCATTGAGATGTTGTAGGTACACAGGATCAGATCAGTGATTCTAAATGGTGATGGAGAATGAATTAAAGCTAAGTCCTTGCTGACTGGAAATCAGTCATGATGAAAATAAAACCCATTTGAACATATGGTAACAATGACATTAAGAGTTGGGCTCCAGAAATGTGGTTTACCCAGTTTCTCAGGACTTTTGCTTTGGAGCAAAGTAGATGTGCTGGGAGTAGCACTGAGAGACCCTTCCCTTTCCCCATTTTACCTCTAAGAACCTACTTCACAAGTGCAGACATCTCTTCCCCACCAAGCTCTCTGATTCATGCATCTTTGCCACTTCAACCACTGCTTTTTAATTCAGTTTGCTTTGACCAGAAAAAAACTTGCAGCTGACAAAAAAAGTCTTCCTGCCGCTTATTTCCCCAGGTTCCAAGTGTGAAGGGGGGAACTAAAGCAGTCCTATTTTCACATCATCAACTGCTCAGCTGGATTGTAGCAGTTAAACATGAGAAGTTTCAGGTGAAGCCCACAGCAGCTGTAAGTGTCAGAGCTGGGAGGCACAGGCTGGTTCCAAAGCAAGGAGAATTGATGGCAATGAGGACCAAAGACTGGCCAGGGAAGAAAATCCAGAATGTAGTCACATCTGATGGATGAAATAGGACCCTAAAAGGCAAGGCTTTTAGACATATCCCCTACCTTCCCTGAACGACTAAAATGCCCCTGGCACCACACAGCAGAGGAAAAAAGACATAAGCTATTAAGTTCCATTTCTGTCTGAAACAGCAGCAAGATAATTTCCTGTCAGTGACCTACATTGTGGCTGCAGCCACAGCTGAATCTGCAGAACCTGACTCCCAACTCAGGTAAAGGCAAGCAGTTGGAGTTGTCTGATACATCAATGCATGTGTCGAGTAAGTAGCAAGGGAGCTGGCCTGCTAGTCTTGAACTTCATGCTTTTCACCCTAAGTTCACTTAGATTCACCTGACCAACCAGTGGCTTTGTGCCTTTGAAATAACTGTGCCTGCCTCAAAGGCTGTACATGGCTCAGGAAGGCTTTGCAGTGGCAAAGTAACTTTCAGGAAATCTGATGTTTCTAAAATCTGAGTTTATGAAACAGTTATGGGAGGTCACTCACATCACAAGACAATCCTTCCTTTTTATCAAATGAATTCACAACTGATATTCCTAAAATAAGTCTAATCTCCTTATGCAATGAAGGAGATAGACCAAAACTCTGACAGGAGAGCCTGAGATTGGGGAAGAAAGGATAAAAGAAATTTGAGGAAAGCCTGATAATAGCCCAAATCAAGCAAACATTCAAATTCAAACAAACAACAGAAATTAAATAATAACAACAATTAAAACATATAGAATACCTGACCTTGTGCCAGGCACTGTTCTCAGCCCTTTACCTAGGTTTACTTATTTAATCTTCACAAAATTTAACCTCTAAGATAAGGACAATTATTATCCCTACTTTACAGATGAGGAAACTGAGGCATAAGAAGGTTAAGTGATTAGTCGATTTCTAGTAAATAGAACAGCCAGGATTCAAGCTTGGATAGTCTGAGTCCTGAAAGTCAGTAGGACAATATGGCCCTTCTGACACACTAAGTTCAATAATGAGATAGGGTTGGATTGTTTCTAAGTCCCCTTTTGTTGCTGACATTCCCTGTGTTTACAGGTCCTACAAAGTCATAGCTCTGTTTCACATGAGCAGAGGCATTTGTTCCTGGAGTCCAAGTTGGAGGCCATCTTGGTCTGGACTCCCTCAAAAGCAAAGCCTGTGATATGGACTGGGGTACAGATCGTTTATTTGGGAGGTGATCCTCGGTACAGGGATGAGGCAGTAGGAAAGTGAGATGAAAAGGGAAGAAAATCCGTTAAAGATGTGTTAGTGAGCTGGTTACCTCTGTGGGCAACTATGACTTAACCTTGCTGGGGAGCCTCAAATGGACCATGTGTAATGTGCCTCACAATGTCCCTCTGAAGGACAACCTGGGGTATTTATCCACAAATTCTTATCCCCCCCACCCCCGCCATGGAACGAGAGAGACTTCTGAGAGTGTTAAGTCCCCAGCTCTTCCAGCCACAGACTGAGGAGCCTTCTGTGATATAGAAGAGATCTCTGAAACAGAAAAACATAGAGGCCGTGCAGTGGGTGCGCTGTCCATAGAAGACACGGGGTCGTGGTGCTGTCCATCCTCTCAGTGCTGAAATCAGGTTGCGCAGAGGGGATGTGACACAAAGCACAAAAATCATCTACAGTTACCAGCGGATGACCTCTCTTGCTACCTTCCATTCAAAACTTGAAGTTGCCCTCCACAACCCTAGGTTTCAGCCCCTCTCTCTCTTTCCCTTATAATGAAGACAAGGACAATTCACTGGAACCAAAACCCCCAGGGGGCCAATCCAGCAGCACTTCCCATTTACCTCTTCCAGGCTTCTAGTAAACTATATATAGGAGATTTGTTTTCAACTATTACATCCAGAAGATATGTTTCACACCCCACATTTACTTCCACCTGCCTGGATAACTACAAATATTCCTTACTGGTCTCCCTGCCATCCAGTTCTGCCCATTCTCCAACCTTCGACCAAAAACTACTTTCTGGAGAGAGAACCTGATTGTTTACCTCCTGCTTAAATCCCCCAAATATATCCCCATTGCCTTCATGACATAATCCTAACTCCTCATCATGGCTCATAAAGTCCTCTGCCTTCTTCCTTCCTGGTCTGACCTTCACCCTTTCTTGCCTCCAACCACTCCACATGTACTCCATGCTTAAGCCATATGAACTCCCAGCATTTCGCTTGTACCCCTCTCTAAGGTTTTGCACACGTTCTTCCCTTGTCCTGAAATATTTTGACCTTTTACCTACATATTCTTCAAGACTCAGCTCAAAAACTATTCCCCTTGGCAACTGCTGGCTTGAGCTTCTCAGAACATGCCCCCCACACTTCTTTCCCCATCCCACTCCCAACCATGGAGTAGGCCTTTGACCCAGACCCAGCCAATTAGTCAATCAGAGTCTGCCATCCTTCTGAACAAAGTGAGCTTTTAGGAATGGACAGTGGTCTTCTTTGGGATGTTCTAGTAAAACTAGTGAGGAAGACTACCTCTTTCTCTTGGTTTATATGCTGGAAAGATGTGATTCTGTAGCTTTGGGGTGAGCATTTTTCATCACATGGAAAAAGTGAGACAGTAGCAGGAGACAATGAGGCCAACATGCTGGGGGTGTATTGGTCTGGACTCCTGATTTTGAATGACAGAAACCCAATTCAAACCCATTTTAGCAAATAAATGAATAAATAAGAATTTATGGGGCCAGGCACAGTGGCTCATGCCTGTAATCCCAGCACTTTGGTAGGCCAAGGCAGGAAAATCACTTGAGCCCAGGAGTTCAAGATCAGCCAGAACAACATAGTGAGACGCTGTCTCTATAAAAAATAATAATAATAAGTAAATTAGCTGGGCATGGTGGTGCATGTCTATGGTCACAGCTAAGGGGAGGCCATGGTGGGAGGATTGCTTGAGTCCAGGAGTTCAAGACCATCCTGGGCAACATGGCAAAAACCCATCTTTACAAAATACATATATATAAATTAGTCAGGCATGGTAACACACACCTGTAGTGCCAGCTACTCAGGAGACTGAGGTGGGAGGATCGCTTAAGCCCAGAAGTTCAAGGCTGCAGTGAGCCAAGATTGCTCCACTGTACTCCAACCTGGGCAACAAAGTGAGATCCTGTCCCCACCACTAAAACAAAGAATTTATGGGCTCACATTATTGGAGAATCTAAGGGTATATGTTTCACTCAGATCAGGCTTGGTTTAATCCAGAAGCTTAATTAATCTTTCTCTCTCTCTCTCTCGCTCTCTCTCTCTCTCTTTCACACACACACACACACACACACACACACCAATCACTTAGCCATCCTCATCTCTGCTTGGCTTCACTCTACATGATAGCCACCTCCAGCTCCATGTTCATATTCTTCTAGCTTAGAAACCCAGTGGAAAGGATACTTCTTCACCACAAATTTTTCAATCCCAGAGAAGTCTCCTCTGATTGCCCCAGCCTGGTCATGCACCCACCCCTATAACTAGGGGTTTGGGAAGAATGGGCCACCATGATTAACAGGACTGTAAAGCAGGAGTTGGCCAACTATGACCCATGGGTCAAATCTGGCCTGCTACCTGTTTTTTTTTTTTTTGTAAGCAAAGTTTTATTGGAATACAGCCACACCCATTCAGTTATATATTGTCTATGGCTGCTTCCCTGCCACAATGCTTTGGTACTGAACTCACTCAGAGTTCAGCAGTTGAGAGAGAAACCATATAGCATTCAGCAATTGAGAGAGAAACCATATAGTTTGCAAAACCTAAAATAATTGCTAACTGGCCCCTTCCAAGAAATGCCTGCTGACCTCTGCCATAGACCGTGGGAGAGGAATGAGCTCCCATTTTGCATATAGCAAAAGCCAGCACTGCTTCTCATTGTTTGATCTTAGACACATCACAACCTCTCTGAGCTTTGGGTTCCTGATCTATAAATGGAAATAACAATACTTTTCTCACAGGATGGATGGATGGATGGATGAATGGATGGACTGATGGATGGATGGATATATAAATGTATCTCATGCTAAAACTTCTTTGTCCAGCATTGTGTTTCTTTGGAGTTAGACTTAATTGGAGAAGTGATTAATCTGGAGTGAGTCAAATGGGAGACACGCCAGGGAAACACTCCCTTACAATAGATAAAGAGCTTCATACAGAGTCACTCACGCAGTAAGCACTCAATACGTGGTAGACCAAAAAAGAAAAGTTAATCAAAACCCAAAGAAAGCAAAGCTGCTCTGCTCAATGCTTTTAGAGTAAATAACTTTGCAGAGGTACAGAATGACTTTCAGCATTTTGTCCTCCCTTGTCCCTACTGAGATTCTGACGCAATTATGTCTCAGTCAGAAGAAAGCAATTTTGTCCCCATTGTATAGAGAGGAGGGGATGATCCCTGCTTTGATGTTCAAACACCTCAGGTGTACAGCTGCACCTCAGGTGCAGCTGCGATGGCCACCAACCCAAAATGCACTGGGTCCTTTTATTTGGGGGGTGGGTGGTGGCTGGGGGGAGTTTGTTCAATGCTGCCACAGAAACAAAGTGTTTTCATTTTAATCAGCGGAAGTGCTTCCAAAATCACTTCCTTAATTGCTCACAGAAGGTAGCACATCCACTCTTAAGGGAATATTCTGAAGACTGAACAGGAGACAAAACTCTGCAGCCCACAGCTGCTTCCTATCAAGAGCCTCTCACTCATTTCTGAGGTTCAGTTGCCTATCTGTAGAATGAGAGGACAACTGTTTCCTTCCAGGAAGATCCCTTCCATATGTATAGACCAAATAGTGTTTCTACTTGCTATTTTTGCCTTTTAAATAAAACACGCTATTTCCTAAAACCTAAACAAGAATCCCAGGTGCACATTTACCAACCACTTTCTATGGGCCAGTTATCTGCTAGGTCCTCTACACAAATTTCCTCCACAGAATCCACACACCTGCCTAAGAAAGCAGGGGCTGTAGTTATCCCCCTTGTCAGATGGAAAAACTAAGGCTTAGGGAGTAGCTCTGGCTTGCTCAAGGCCATCTATCAAGTGAGTAGTAGATCCAAGATTTGAACTTAGGTCTGTCTGACTTTAAATCCCACACTTCTATTTTGCACTTGAGGAAACTGAGGCACCAAAAAGCTAAGTGAGGCACCCAAGATCTCATCCTGCTCCCAGCCACCATTCTGTATTCCATAAGAGTGGGTACAGCATGGGTCTGAGGCTCAGGGACCCGAGAGTGTATCTAGATGACGCATTCCATACATAATCACGTTGCCTCTTCACACGAACCCTCTGAGGTAGGCACTATAATTATCTCTATTTTTCAGTTAAGGAAACTAAGCCTCTATGAGGCCAGAAGTGAGCCCGTGATGGAATGAAGGCAGACTCCTTTCCCTGTTCTAAAGATGGTACCAAGCCAACTGGTAGATGACCAGAGCTTGTCTATTCTCCTGAGGCTCTACTGCCCAGCTGTCAGATCCCATGAGAATCTATTCACCACCCTGTGCATAGATCAGTGTGACCTAAGGGTTAATTAAGAGCAAGAGCTGGAACTAGACTTCATAGATTTGAACCCCTCCTCCACTGCACACTAGCTGTGGGCGTGTTGCTTAATCTTTCCTGGACCTCAGTTTTTCCATCTATAAAATAGGATTTAAAAAATAGTTTTGGGATTTTTGTTTGTTTGTTTTGGAGACAGGGTCTCACTTTGTCACCCAGGCTGGAGTGCAATTGTGAAATCATAGCTCAGTATAGCCTCAAACTGCTGGCCTCAAGTGACACTCCTGCCTCAGCCTCCCAAAGTGTTGGGATTACAGAGGTGAACCACCACACCCAACCAAAAAATAGTTTTTATAGCTTTTCCTTTTTGCTTCCTTTTGGCAGCCATCAGGTGGTACAGAGCAAGACAGGAGATGGGGAGAGGTCAGGAGTAGGATGAGAAGGGAATTGGTATGGGGCAGGGGGTGTGGCCAAGAAAGCAGACTGTTCACATATAGGAAGATTAATCAAATAAGCAACTAGAGTAAGAATAATGTGTGTCACTTTAGTCAATATTAGATAAGGGAGTTACAAATATAGAAAGGGAGAAAACTAGAATAAACTCTGTGGCATTGAATTAGAATTAGAGTTCTATGGTTTTCAATATATAGACTGATGTACATTGATATATATAGATTGATTATGCATGTCTGTATATTTATTTATGTATATATTTATCAATGCATAGATACATAATATGCATATATTTGTTTATCAATGCATATAATATGTATATATTTACATATGTATGTGTGCTTATATATTCATATCCATATCTTCCCTACTTCTGTCTCTTAGAGGACCTGGAAAAAGCAATACCCCAATATTGATGAGCACACCTCATACCCAGATCCTAGCTTCTAAAAACCATTCACCACTAAAAAGAGACAGGGCTTTTTGGAGAAATGACTGATAGCAGGGCTGGAGCAAGAAAAGTGCAAGATGAAACTGGAGTATCCTGTACCAGAAAGCAAAGGGGCACCCGAAGAATGATGCAGACAGATCAAACAGACCTAGGAGTCAGCGTGAAAGAGCTCCTACTGGCCAAACCAGGGACAATGATAGTTAGAACCCCATTAAATGAAATCCACAACAATGAGTCCATACAGTGATCAACTGATGGATAGATAGATTGATTGACAGAAAGATAAAGTTAGATGAGGAATGGGATTTTTACATAGCCTCAAAGTATCTCCCACAAAATAGATACCAATTATAAAAAGGAAAAGGATAACTTTACTTGTAGAAGCCTGGCAGATACTACCTTAATCAAGTGATCAAATTGAATACCATCAGTAATGAGACAGATCAAAATCATGTGCCACCCCACAAGATGCAAGGAGAAACCAGCATCCCTTCTGTAATACTCTTGCTAAAGATGCACAACCTGAATTTAATCATCAGAAAACATCAGATAAATCAAATCTGAGGGACATTCAACAGAAAACTGGCCCATAATCTTCAAAAGTGTCAAGGTTAGGAAAGTCAAAGAAAGTCTGAGAAAGCATTCCAAACTGAAGGAGATTAAGGATATATGACAAGTAAATGTGATGCCTGATTCTAGGTGAGATCCTTTCACTCCAAAGGACTTTCCTGTGGGCTAGATGGTCGTGATGCATTCACGTTCATTTCTTGGTTAGGATGGTTGTAATGTGGCTAAGCAGGAGAATATCTTTGTTTGTGGGACATAAACACTAAAGTATTTCTAGGTGATGGGGCAGTAGGAGGTAGCAATTTACTCTCAAGTGATTCAGTGGGAAAAAAATTCTGGTGCTGTACTCACAACTTTTCTGTAAATTTGTGATTGTTTCAAAAAATGGCTAAGTACATAACAAAGATAATCTATCTACTACATGAGATATGAGTGTTAAGCACAGTGCCTGGTATAAAGTGAGTTCTCAATGTTAACTGTTAATATCAGCATCTTTTCCCCCTTCCTCCAAGCCCAAGTAGATGGACCATGAGGCGCCGTTGGCCTGGAAGGTCAATTAATCTGGCAATCTGGGCACCAGTCCAACAGGAACCATTACCTATCAACAAATTGATCTTGCCCCAATAGATCAAACACTTAGCAGCCATTCCTACAGATACAGCAAAACATTTGTTTTCATTAGAGCATTTTACAGACAAACAAGCCATACGATCCATCAGCAATCCTGTTGGCTCAGCCTGCAAAATATGTCCAGCATCCAAACACCTCTTATCACCTGCACAGCTGACACCCTGGAAGGAGGCATCGTCTTCTCTCACCCAGATCATTGTAACTGTTTTCTAATGGGTCTCCCTGCCTTTGTCCTTAATGCCCTGCAGGCTACTGTCAACACAGCAGACAGAATGGTCCTGCTAAAAATAAAATAAGATGGCCAGGCACTATAGCTCACACCTGCAATCCCAACACTTCGGGAGGCCGAGGTGGGCAGATCACTTGAGGTCAGGAGTTCAAGACCAGCCTGGCCAACATGACAAAACCCCGTCTCTACTAAAAATACAAAAATTAGCCAGGCATGGTGGCACACACCTGTAGCCCCAACTACTTGGGAGGCTGAGGCACAAGTATCATTTGAACTGGGGAGGTGGAGGTTGCAGTGGTCCCAGGTGGCACCACTACACTTCAGCCAGGACGACAGAGCAAGATTCCATCTCAAAATAAATAAATAAATAAAATAAAAAATACATATATAAAATAAGATTTTAAAATCAGATCCCACTATTCCTCCATCAAAGTCTTCCAGAGATGCCCTACTTCACAGACTTGACAGTGGTCTACAAGGCTCTGTGCAATCTGCCCCATGATCTCACCAACCTCATCTCCTCCCACATTCCCTCTTGCTCACACTGCCTCAGTTACACTGTTCCATGAGCACAGCAGGGAGGCACCCACCTTTGCACTGGCTGTTCCCTCTGCCTGGAATGCTCTTCCCCTTATCCACACAGTCAACTCCCTCCCTTCTTCAGGTCCTTGCTCAAATGTCACTTTCCCAGTGAGGCTTCCTCTGACCTCCTATTTAAAATCACAACACCCATCATCTCAGCACTCCCTACCCACTTCCCCTATTTCATTTTTTCATGGCAATCTTCACTTTCTAAAGCCTCTGTATTATTTATTTATTCATTTTGTTTTTTGGACTGTTCATAATTATCATAATACAATCACATACCACATAATGTTTAGGTCAATGATGGACCACAAAAACCTACAATAGTGATCCCATAAGGTTATAATGGAGCTGGAAAATTCCTATCACCTAATGACATCATAACCATCATAAGATCATAGCATAACGCATTACTCATTTGCTTGCGGTGATGTTGGTCTAATCAAATTTATTATGCCATCAGTTGTATGAAAGTATAGCACATGCAATTCTGTACAGTACATAATACTTGATAATAATAATAAATGTCTATGTCACTGATTTATATATTTACTATGCTTTATCATTATTTTAGAGTGTATTCCTTCTGCTTATAAAAAGTTTGTGCATCTGACAAAGGACTAATATCCAGAATCTACAAGAAACTCAAACAACTCAACAAGAAAAAAAAAATAACGCCATTAAAAAGTAGGCAAAGAATATAAACAGACATTTCTCAAAAGAAGACATACAAGTGGCCAACAAACATATGAAAAAATGCTCAACATCACTAATCATCAGAGAAATGCAAATTAAAACTACAATGAGATCCCATCTTACACCAGTCAGAATGGCTATTATTATAAAGTCAAAAAACAGTATGTGTTGGCAAGGATGTGGAGGAAAGGGAACACTACTGGTAGGAATGTAAATTAGAACAACCTTTATGGAAAACAGTATGGAGATTTATCAAAGAACCAAAAATAAGCTCCCATTCAACCCAGAAATTCCACTACTGGATATCTACCCCCAAAAAATAAATTATTATATAAAAAAGACACATTCACTCATATGTTTATCACATCACTATTCACAATAGCAAAGTCATGGAATCAACCTAAGTGTCCATCAATGGATAATTGGATAAAGAAAATGTGGAGATATATATATATATGTATATATATATACACACACACACCGTGGAATACTATATGGCCATTAAAAAGTATGAAATCATGTCTTTCGCAGCAACATGGGTGGAACTGGAAGCCATTATCCTATGGGAAATAACTCAGAAACAGAAAATCAAATATCGCATATTCTCACCAATAAGTGGGAGCTAAACGATGAGTACAAATGGACATATAGAGGGGAATAATAGACACTGGGGACTCCAAAAGGGGGAAGAGTGGGAAGGGATTGAGTATTGAAAAATTACCTGTTGGGTACAATGTTCACTATTTGGGTTACGGATACAATGGAGGCCCAAACCTCACCATTACACAATATACCCATCAGTGCAACTGAGGAAGACACTGAGAAGATACTGATAAGTTCTGGAAGAATTACAACATCTATAAGTACACTAAGAACCTTGCTTAGGCTTGGGGTGATGTCACCAAGGAGTATATAAATGGCATCTGCAAGAAGACACTCGAGAGATTTATCTATGACGTCAAAGGATTTGCCAAGGTTGAGGAGGTTGCAAAAATCAACACAGCTGTGGTTGAGATGGCAAACAACTTTGCACATGTGCCCCCTGAATCTATAATAATGAAAGAAAAGTTTGCTGTAAAGCAGGATGCCATGTTAGCCCAGAAGCAGCCTCATACATCTGTGTTTACCAAGACTTGTGGCTGCATCATTTTCTCTTGTGCTCTTGTTCTGTCCATCATGGCCCCTAAGTGCACAAAATCGACAGCTAATGTTACCAGTAAGAGGCCACGTAGAGTGACTGACCAGGAAATGAAAAAATGAAATTGAAAGTGATGGTTGTTGCTCACTAGGCAAGCATGTCCCATTCCTGCAGCTATGATCTTGAACAAGAACAAAGTGACTGGAGTTGTTTAAGGAACTGCTTCATTGAAGGTAACAAGACTAACAAAAATGGGACTGGGCGTGGTAGCTCATGCCTGTAATCCCAGCATTTTGGAAGGCTGAGGCTGGCGGATCACCTGAGGTCAGGAGTTCAAGAACAGCCTGGTCAAAATGGCAAAACCCCGTCTCTACTAAAAATACAAAAAAATTTGCCAAGCATGGTGGTATGCACCTGTAATCCCAGCTAATCGGGAGGCTGAGGCACCAGAATCGCTGGGACCTGGGAGGCAGAGGTTGCAGTGAGCTGAGATCGTGCCACTGCACTCCAGCCTGGGTGACAGAGCAAGACTGTCTCAAAAAAAAAAAAAAAAAAAAAAAAAAAGACCAACAAAAATTCGAGATGGGCCCAAATCAGACATGAAGAAACTTCTATTGACCTAGATTGAAGACCGGACACACAAGGTCCCTCTCAGCACCAGGATGATCACAGTTTAAGCAAAAAGTTGGTTTTACAATGCTGAAAGAAAAGGCTGGACCCGACTATGATGTTGAGTTTACTGCTAGCACTGGGTGGTTTAAACAATTCATGAATCATTATTCATTACATAATGAAAATGTGAGTGGTGCGTCTGCAAGTGCTGATGTGAAGAATTTTTGGAAACTCTAGATAAGCTGATTGTAGAGGAAAATTACTTGCCAGAGCAAATCTTCCCTATTCTGGAAACAGATGCCTGAAAGGACTTTCATCCATAAGGAGGCCAAGTCAATGCCAGGTTTCAAGGCTTTTAAGGACAGGATAACCGTCTTGCTCTGAGACAATGTTGCAGGCTACAAAATGAAACCCTTTGTGGTCTGGCCTTCAAGCCATGGCCTTCAAGCATATCAATCAGCACACACCACCAGAGGAGTGGAGGAGGAATAAGAAGTCATGGATGGATGACACATGAATAAGAAGTCATGGATGGATGATGCCGTCCTGAATTGCTCTGCCAGCAAAATGGGGAAACACTGATAGAGGAGAAGAACAAGCCTTTCACGATTTTGCTTAGTGTTGATAATGCTCCCACACATACTCCTTTTATTGGTGATCTTCATCCCAATATCAAAGTGGTGTTTCTACCTTTGAACACCACCTCCTTGAACTAACCAATGGATCAAGGAGTTACAGCAGCTTGTAAGACCTACCATCTGAGGATAACCTTTGCCCAGCCTACCGCTGCAACTGAGGAAGACACTGATGAATTCTGAAAGAATTGCAACATCTATAACTGCACCAAGAACCTTGCTGAGGCTTGGGGTGATGTCACCAAGGAATATATAAATGAAATCTGCAAGAAGATACTCAAGGGATTTCTCTGTGATTTCAAAGGATTTGCCAAGAATGGGGAGGTTGCAAAAATCGACAAAGCTCTGGTTGAGACGGCAAACAACTTTAACCCGGGTGTGGATGAAGATGACACTGAGGAGCTCCTAGAGGTGGTTCCTGAGGAATTAACTAATGAGAAGTTGGAACTGGAGCAGGAATGCATAGTGAAAAAAAAAGGCAAGAGAAAAGAAAACTGCAGAAGAAGGAAAAGAATCCCCAAGAAAATTCACAGGGACAGGTTTAGTAGATGCTTCTGCAGACCTCAAAAAGCTCCTTAAAGAGTTTGAAAGCAATAAGGACCCCAACACTGAAAGGCTTTCATTAATAGAGGGGAATGTTCATGGTGTATTATCTGCTTACAAGCACATCTATGATGACAAAAGGAAACAAACCAAGCAAACCCCCCAGGACGTGTTTCTGAAAAGAGTGACATCTCCTCAAGAGCCTCAGCCAGGTCCTTCAGGAGGGATTCCAGAAGAAGGGATTGTTATCATAGGAGAGGACAGCTCCGTGCAAGTTCTTGCCCCTGAAGATCTTCCAGTGGAAAAGTTGTGAAGTGGAAGGTAACGATCTTGACTAATACAGCTAATACAGTGTATGTGTCTTTAACAATGTCTGTGTGTGTAGGCCTAGGCTAATGTGTGTGCTTGTGTTTTCGTTTTTAACAAAAAAAAGTTTAAAAAGTAAAAATAAAATAAAAAGTTCTTAAAATTAAAAAAGCTTATAGAATAAGGATATAAGGAAAGAAAATATTTTGTACAGCTGTACAATGTGTTTGTGATTTAACAATGTCTTTGTGTTTTCACAAGAGTCAAAATTTTAAAAGATTAAAGATAACTATTGGGCACTAGGCTTAATACCTAATACAACAAACCCCCATGACACGAGTTTGCCTATATAACAAACTTTCACATGTACCTCCGAACCTAAAATAAAAGGGTTTTTTTAAGTATATAAAGTAAAAAGGTTATAATAAGCTAATTTATTATTGAAGAAAGAAATTTTTAAATAAATTAAGTGTAGCCTAAGTGGACAGTGTTTATAAAGTCCACAGCAGTGCACAGTAATGTCCTAGGCCTTCGCATTCACTCACCACTCACTCACTGACTCACCCCTCACCCACAGCACCCTCCAGTCCTGCAAGCTCCATTCCTGGTAAGCTCTCTATACAGGTGTACAATTAAATTTATCTTTTTTTTTTTTTTTTTTTTAGATGGAGTCTCGCTGTGTCACCCAGGCTGGAGTGCAGTGGCATGATCTCAGCTCACTGCAATCTCTGCCTCCCGGGTTCAAGCAATTCTCATGCCTCAGCCTCTTGAGTAGCTGGGAATACAGGCTAATTTTTGTGTTTTTAGTAGCGATGGGGTTTCACCGTTGACCAGGCTGGTCTCGAACTCCTGACCTCAAGTGATCCATCCACCTCGGCCTCCCAAAGTGCTGGGATTACAGGTGTGAGCCACCTCCCTCGGCCTGTATTTATCTTTTATACTGTATTTTTATTGTACCTTTTCTATTTAGATATGTTTAGATACACAAATACTTACAACTGTGTTATAGCTGCCTACAGTATTCAGTACAGTAACATGCTGTACGGATTTGCAGCCGAGAAGCAATAGGCTACACCATACAGCCTAGTGGTACAATAGGCTATACCATCTAGGTTGATGTAAGTATACTCTATGACAGTCAAATGACAACGAAATCACCTAAAGGTGCATTTCTCAGAGCACATCTCCATCATTAAGCCATGCATGACTGTTTTGCTCTTTGAGGGCAGAGGTCTTGGCTGCTTATTTTCACCAAAACTTTCCAGCACCTAAACTGTGCCTGAAACATGACAAAAGCAATCAGGGAATATTGTTGAAAATGAATTAATGAATGAATGAGTAATTAAATGAATGAATGAGTTTTTGCATGGGGCAGAGGAAAGAAAGGAGGAGGAGAATAAACTGTGCAGGAACCACACCAGGTGGTGAGACTCTCCAAGATCAGAGCCTCTGTTCTCTCCTGGGTCACTCAACAGCCACCAGTCCAGTCCTCATCCACACTGGCCCCATGGTTATTAGCACAAATGGAGGGAGCAACAGGTTTGGAGTTTTGTTGTTTTTGAGAAACAGGGTCTTTTTCTGTCACCCAGGCTGGAATATAGTGGCACGATCATGACAGCCTCAAGTTCCTGGGCACAAGCAATCCTCCCACCTCAGCCTCCCAAACAGCTGGGACTACAGGTAAGCGCTACCACACCCAGCTAATATTTTCATGTTTTTGTACAGACAGAGTCTCACTATGTTGCCCAGGCTGGTCTCGAACTCCTGGCTTCAAGTGATCCTCCCACCTCAGCCTCTCAAAGTGCTGGGATTATAGGTGTGAGCCACCACACCCTGGCTCTAGATTTTTTTAAATGAAGGTCTCCACTTGGCAGTTTCTCAAAAACAATTCCCACATGATCTAGTAATTCCACTCCTAGGTATGTACTCAAAAGACTTGAAAGCAGAGACTCAAATGGACATTTGTACATAAATGTTCATAGCAGTACTATTCACAATAGCCAAAATGTGGAAACAACCCCAATTCTTCCACCAGATGAATGGGTGGAAAACAAAATGTGGCCTAGCCATACAATGAAATATTATTCAGCCTTTAAAAAGGAATGAAATACTGATACATGCTACAAAACATGGAACCCGTAAAACATTATGCTATGTAAAACAAGCCTCACACAAAAGGACAAATATTGTATGATTCCACTTACATGAGGTATGTAGAAGAGGCAATTTCACAGAAGCAGAAAATAGAAACATGGTGTCCAGGGGCTAGGGAGAAGAGAATGGAGATGGGAATTATTGTTTAACAGGTACAGAGTTTCTGTTTGGAATGATGAAAAGGTTCTGGAAATGGACAGTAGTAATGGTTGAACAATGTTGTGAATGTCCTTAATGCTACTCAATTGTATATTTTAAAATGGTGAGAATGGTAAGTTTTGTGTTCTTTATATTTAGCACAATTAGAAAATGAAAGTTCATGTATTCCACGGCATTTGAAGTCTCCTGTAGCAAGAGTGAGACAGATCTATAGAACTCACAAGCAAACGTACCAAGATAATATAATGAAGTTTTTAAAATGTTGAATGGTTTTGGTTTAGCTGGGGGCGGGAGTTGGTTTTTGTTGGGATTTTGTTTGTTTGTTTGTTTGTTTTTTGGGGGTTTTTTTGGTAACGAGGTCTTACTGTGTTGCCCAGGCTGGGGTGGTGCAATGGTGCAATCTCTGCTCACTACAGCCTCCACCTCCACCAGGGTTCAAGCCATCCTCCTGCATCAGCCTCCCAAGTAGCTGGGACTACAAGCATGCACCACCATGCCTGGATAATTTTTGTTTTGTTTTTTTTAGGAACGGGGTTTCGCCATGTTGCCCAGGCTGGTCTGGAACTCCTGAGCTCAAGCGATCCACCCGTCTCAGCCTCCCAAAGTGCTGGGATTACAGACATGAGTCACCACACCAGCCTTGAATGGTATTAATAATATGAACACAGTTGTATTAAAAATTAAATGTTGCCAGGAGCTATGGCTCATGTCTGTAATCCCAGCACTTTGGGAAGCCAAGGTGGGAGGATCACTTGAGGTCAGGAGTTCCAGACCAGCCTAGACCACACAGTGAGACCCCTGTCTCTACAAAAACATTAAAAAATTAGCCAGGTGTAATGTCACTCGCCTGTGGTCCCAGCTACTCAGGAGGCTAAGATGGAAGGATCACTGGAGCCCAGGAGGCGGAGGTTGCGGTGAACTATGATCTGCTCCTGCACTCCAGCCTGGGTGACAGAGCGAGACCCTATTTCAAAAAAAAAAAAAAATGTGTAAACAAGTATCTATTACTTCATTCAATAAATATTTATTGTCTTCATGTGTCAGACACTATTCTAGAAACTAGAATGCAGCACTGGGGAAAAAAAGTCAAAACTTTCTGCTTCACAGAGCTGGCATAAGTTACATTTTGTAAAAAATAAATAAATAAAATAAAAAAGGATATATAAAAGGGGATGAGAAAAATTCAACTTTTGGACCCTGAATCATCCCTCATTGTGCAAGAATTTCTTCTTGGCTTCTTCCTACCCAATCTGATAAGGAAGCCTTAGTTCAATGAAAAGAGGAAGATTTGTAGAAAATTCTAAAATTGGATTAAGGGAGCTTGGCAATGATCAAGCCTGTCTTCTCAGTGCAGCAGAGAGGTTAGAAATTCTGGCCCTGACATCAGGGAGGCCTGGACTCAAGTCCCACCTCCTCCATAAGTGGCTATGTGACCTTCATTGAATCATTTCACACATCTACACCTCAATGTCCACACCTACAGAACGGGGATAAAATTAGAGATGAGGTAATGTAGAATGCAATTGCCTTGGCTGCTGGGACTGAACTGGAAATGTCAGCTTTCCCAGACTTCATTCATTCATTTGTTCTACAACCAGGAACTGAGGGGATGTGGATCTGCATTTGCTGCCTAATATATGATGATAATGGTGGTGCTAAAAGCTGGATCTACATTGACTGACTGTACCTCCCAAAATTCACATGTTGAAGTCCCAACCCTAGGACCTCAGAATGCAACTATGTTTGGAGATAAGGTCTTTAAATGGTTAAGTCAAAATGAGGCCAGTAGGGTGGAACCCTTATAAGAAGAGGAAGAGACGCTAGGGATGTGTGCACACGTAGCAAAGCTGTGTGAGAGCATGGTGAGAAGGCAGCCGTCTGCAAGCCAGGGAGGGAAGCCTCAGGAGAAACCAACCCTGCTGACACCTTGATCTTGGACTTTCAGCCTCCAGAACTGTGAGAAATAAATTGCCATTGTTTAAGCCACCCAGCCTGTGGCATTTTGTTATGGCAGCCGTAACAGGCTAATACAAATGGTGAATAAAACAAAATGAGGTGTCTGCCTTCCTGGAGCTTATAGTCAAATGCAGTATTCCTCAAAATATGAGCACCCAATTACTATAAGAACTTACATCTGTGAATGCAGATATTGCTTAGGACTGGGCCTGATATATAACAAATGATAAGAATACACAAGTCCTGCAATCTTTAATACAGATGGGGAAACTGAGGCCCAAAGAGACGGTGGGACTTACCTCAGGTCTCAGGCCTGGCTAGTAGCTCCATCTTTGACCCAACTGATGACCTATGGAAAAAAATTTCATTCTTACTGCCTCCATCACCTTAGTTCCAGTAGTACCAAGAGTCATAAATTCTCACTAAAGCATTGCATAGAGCGTTTTCTTAAATAATTCAAAATAAAAATGTGCCAGGGCACAAAATAGAAAATCTCATTACTCTCCAAGATGAATGGACACGAACTTTTCCAACTCCGAAAGGTAATAAAATGGAATGTAGCACTATCTGAAGTCTACCAAGAGATCTGGTCTATTCTACATCAAAGAACCACACAAATAAATACTATTGGTTTTAAATTTGTGTAAAGGGGCCTGGCGTGCTGGCCCATGCCTGTAATCTCAGCACTTTGCAAGGCCGAGGTGGGCCTTGAGGCCAGGAGTTTGAGACCAATCTGGTCAGCATAATGAAACCCCATCTCTACTAAAAACACAAAAATTAGCCAGGTGCGGTGGCATATGCCTGTAATCCCAGTTACTTGGAAGGCTGAGGCATGAGGATTGTTTGAACCCGGGAGATGGAGGTGCAGTGAGCCGAGACTGCACCACTGCATTCCAGCCTGGGTGACAGAGTGAGACTCTGTCTCAAAATAAATAAATAAATAAATTTGTGTAAAGGAAAAACCAACCACCATGAATTTTAAATCAGTAATTTCCATTTTTTTTTTTTTTTTTTTTTTGAGACCGTGTCTTGCTCTGTCACCCAGGCTAGAGTACAGTGGCACAATCATGGCTCACTGCAGCCTGAAACTCCCAGGCTCAGACGATCCTCCCACCTCAGCCTTTTGAGTAGCTGGGACTACAGACATGTGCCACAACACCTAGCTTTTTTTTTTTTTTTTTTTTTTTTTTTTGTAGAGATGGGGTTTCACTCTGTTGCCTAGGCTGGTCTCAAACTCCTGGGCTCAGCGATCGTCCCACCTCAGCCTCCCAAAGTGCTGGGATTCCCGGAGAGTGAGCTACCACACCTGGCCTAACCAGTAATTTTATCTCTGAGAATGTCACCTACAGAAACAACCCTAAGTCGAAAGCAAACAAAAACATTTTGCACAGTGTGTATATTAAGAAAAATGAAAAGCAACCTAAATGTCCATTAACTGGGAAATAAGTACATTCCACTCAGTGGAACATTATTCAGCCATAACAAATTATGTATGATACCTTTATGTGACATATTTATGTTATTAGGTCAAGTAAAAAAATAGAAATATGGAATTGTATATAGTATATGTAATGATCACAGTTGTGATAAATTAAAAACTAAGCATATAAAAATACAAGTGGGAAATACACTAAAACATTAACAGTGGTTGTCTCCATCTGTCTCCTCAACTGTATTTTCCAAATGATCTGCAATGATTATAGACATATTCCTTTCAACATAGAAGAAAACCAAATTGATTTTTTAATATATTTTATAGTGTCAGGAGAAAACATAGCCTGAATTGTCTCCTCAAAATGAGTCTTATATTCTAAGACTAGTAGCAAGAATAATAACAATAACAGTTAACATGTATCAAGCATTTACTATATGTCAGGCACTGTTCAAAGCATTTGACTTTCATTCACTTGCTTAAGCTTTTTCCCACTTACTCTGTGGCAGCTGCACCCACCACCCTCCTTGCTATTCCTCAAACCGTTCACTGCCTCAGGGCCTTTGCACCTGCAGTTCCCTCTGCCTGGAAAAGCTGTTCCCTGCTCTTCCCCCTATGTATATCCACATGGCTCACTTTCTCCACATCTTTGCTCAAAGGTAACCACCCTAGAGAGGCCATTCCTGACCATCCAACCTAAAGCAACACACACACACACACACACATACACACACACACACCCTCTCTAGCCCCATTACCCTGGTTGATTTTTCTTCATGGCTTATTCTGTTGATTGCAGCATGAAATTTACTCATTTATTGCCTATTGCCCCCATTAGAACATCTCTCTGTTTTATTCACTACTGTCTCCAGCATCAAGAATAACACACCTATCACGCAGTAGATATTCAATAAAAGATAACTAAATATACCCCAAAATATAACCATCTTAGGAAGTAGTTACCTTTATTCTTCCATTGTACAGATTATGAAACTGAGGCATAGAGAGACTCGCTCAGGGTCACATGGCCAGAGCAATGGTTCAAATATACAGTCTGGCTCCAGAACCCAAATTCTTAGCCAACAAATGGCTTGAGGTGGGGTTGTAATTGTCATGGTATTGGTAAAGATGAGACAGATTTTGTTAAGGATATCTTCAAAAAAAACAGGCCAAGGGAAACATCACTTTTGTCCATTAAACATAAAATGTGGGTCTTCAATCCAGAAAAGAAAAACTGGTTTGTGCAAGTGTAATACAGCTAGGCTCCTTTGATTCTTAGCTGTTCTGCGCTCTGGAAAAAACCTAAGCTAATGTGTGGCTAAATTCACACTTTAGAGTACCCCCATAGCTTTTAAGATTAATGCAGTCCCAAACTATGGGATGCATACCCTCCAGTGTTAGCAAAAGAGACCATGCAGTTAGGACCAGCCCATTTACAAGGTCATCTCCACATCGGTCATCAAACCAACTCTGTGAGTTGGGGACTCTCACCAGGCATCAGCAATATGAGGACAGGGACTGTGTGTCTTGTTCACTGTTGAGTCCCAGGCCCCTCAAGTGTCATCTGGCAAACAATCAGCCAACAGTGAGTATTGAAAAGTGGAATTAACATTAGGGATGGAAAAATGGAGGCTCAGAGAGGGGACACCACTTTTCCAAAGTCACACAGCTAGTAGACAGGAAACTGTCCAACCTCACTGTGCACATAATCATTTTGAGGCTGAGAAAAGGGAGGCTCCCCAAGCCTCTTTGGTGATGTACTGGCCATGAGAGGTGGCTGGGAGGAGTGTGACCGGCTGAGAGCCTCCAACTGCCACACCTTCCAGGGTCCCTGAAGACCCACAACCTGTGAGATGTGAGTGGACGTCTGCCAGGGTTTTTAGAGAAAGGTATTTTTGCTCTTAAAAAGAGGCACACAAACGAAAATGGAGCCTCTTCCATGGGGGGACATTATATTACATCTGAAAATAACATCTAGAACTGAGAGAGCCATCTTATCACCTTTAGGGCTACTTACTGACATTAAGATGACAAAGGAGAATTATAAGAAGAACGTTGGTCTTGGTGAAGTTGTCAAGGCACTGAATTAATCCTGGAGTCACTGTTACCTATGATAATAAATTTTTCTTTATTGTTTAAGCCAGTCGAATCAAGATATTTTTCTTTTGGATCAAAAGCATCCTGGTGCACACAAATAGCTACCATTTAATGAACATTTACTATATGCCCATAGCACATGGCACCTGCAACTCTCCCACCAGACTAAATGGTATACATTTCTTCTCAGATTTAATCCAGTGCAACCCATGAGGCAGGTACTGTTATTAACCTCATTTTACAGATGAGGAAACTGAAGCTCAAAACAATATGAAAATCGACCAGAGTGCCATAGCTAGTGTCAGAGCTGAGATTTGATCGTGGGATGGTATCCTTATGGCTTACCACTCTTCTATAAAACCACCTCCTATGGCTGTCTACCGGCTGTCTGCTCTCATCTCTGCCCCCATTCAAAACGCCACTCACATTGACAAATTGATTCAGAGAGCAGCTGCTGCACCCACGAACTTATGAATCAGATCTACTAGAAGCGATTGCAATCTTTGAACAATTCTGTGAAGATACTTAAGAGACATCCTATGAAATCCAAAGCAGATGTGATTTACCCCCAAGGATGGAAATTCAAGCTCCAGATGGAGTAGAAAGACGAAATTTGCAGAGGAGAGCTCACTTTGCTTTGAAACACCCTACACCTGCCTCTCTAAAAGCAAGATCCTAATTTAGTTCAAGCACTGCTTGCAGAATTTTTTTCTTGTGATAATCTTAAAACACAGTCGTAAGTGCTCTGCTCCAGTGGTTCAAGCACACATTTCAGAGAACAACAAATTTTCCTGGCAATAAACTGAGAAGATCCATAATGTGCCTGGGTGATTTATACCCCAGAAAATCTAGAAAAAGCCACATAGATAAGGACATCATTCAACAGAACCAAAGAAACCGGCAGACATTTAACGAGACCAAGTGTACTAACTTCAAACAAAGCAAAAACTCATACATAATGATGTTGGACAACATGACCCTTTGTTGTAGGGGGAAAAAATCCAGGGTGGCATGTGGTGTGATATTAAAATCAATGTTGCCTTGTGGTTTGGTCTAGTAACTATCATTTCAAACTCAGGACCTCATTCATAAGCTTCATTTTTTTGAACAACTCTCACGGTATCTCTCTGTTTGACTATCAGTCAGAACTCACCAGCTTATATCTGAACAATACTCAACTTTTAAAAATTTTAAAAATCAAATGAAAATTTATCGTCTCTGGCATATAAAATGCCTGGGAGTCTTTTGCTTCAGGTACAGCTGCATCCAGGCACTCAAATGATGTGATCAAAGCTTGGTCTCTCCCCAGGGCATGATTCTGCTTTTCTCCGTGTTGATTTTATTTTCAGTTTCTTTCCATGTAATGAGCTGCAGCTATTCAGGGTAACATTGTGCTTTTATTATATAGCTATCTATTGTACTGGAAAGCGAGTTTCTTCCCCACTCAGGTGAGTTTCTTGTGGATATTGACCTCATCTACATGGCAGCTAAAGATGAGGATGAGTAAGGACTGAGCAAAGCTGTTAAAGATGGTTATTTGAGGATCTTTGGTGGAGTTCAAGAGATCAAAAGAATGAGCTAACATATGAAAGTACCTGGCATATAGTACGTGCTCAATAAATGTTTCTCAGCCACTGTAGCAGAGATGGATGGTGTTGTACCATATCTTCTAGGTACTTATCAGATGGCATGCACCTGTGACTGCCTGTCCGAGGTGTTTCTTTTGGCTCATTTGCAGGGCAGATCAGAAGTGACAGGGCATTCATGCCATCAGGAGCAACCCAGTCCACAAGAGATGAGTGCTGAAGGACAAACTCCCCTCAGGTAGGTTAACTCTGTAGCTTGTGTTCTGCACCCTCTCCCAGTGTTCCCCAGCAGGACTGAACTCCAATCACCCACAGTGCAAACAGGCTCAATCTGAACAATATCTTTCATTTTATTTATAGATTTAGAAGGTACACATGCAGTTTTGTTACATGGATATATTTCCTAATGAAGTCTGGGCTTCTAGTGTAACCATCATCCAAATAGTGTACATTGTACCATTAGGTAATCTCTTATACTTCAGCTCCCTTCCACACTCCCACCCTTCCAAGTCTCCAGTGTTTATTATTCCACTCTCTACGCCCATGTGTGCACATTATTTAGCTCCCACTTAAAAGTGAGAACATGCAGTATTTGACTTTCTGTTTCTGAGTGATTTCACTTAAGATAATGGCCTCCAGTTCCATCCACATTGCTGCAGAAGACATGCTTTCATTCTTTTTATGGCTGAGTAGTATTCCATGGTATATATACTACATTTTCTTTATCCATTCATCTGTTGATGGACACTTAGCTTTTGTGAATAGTGCTGTGATAAACATACAAGTGTAGGTATCTTTTTTCTTTAATGATTTCTTTTCCTTTGGGTTGAAACCCATTAGTGGGATTGCTGGATCAAATATTAGTTCTATTTTTGCAAAACATTATCTGTTGACTTTCTTCCCCTCCCTGTCTCACCTCCCAACTCCCTGACCTGTTTTCTGAGATCACCTGCCAAATAAACCATTTGTACCCAAATTCTTATCACAGAGTGTGCTTCTGGGGAAACCCAGGCTGACACGAACATGAAGGCAAACAGCCTAGAATCATAGAATTTTACACTGAGATGAAAGTGAGGCTGGATTTTAAGCCCCATGTAGCAGAAACTATGTCTTCTCTTTATTTCTCCACTTCCAGAGCAGGGGTGGGCACACAGAAATGTTGGCTGAATGAATGGATGAACAAAATACTTTAAATTCTATTGAAATGCAACACGAACACACACATGCTTAACTCTAGCTTAGCATTTACCTAATCTTGATTTGACTTCTGCATCAGCAGCTGGGAGTTACTGGTTAGGAAATTAGGATAATAGGATGCAGGGAGGGATGGAAGTAATGAATTAGGAAACAAGACACATGAGTCATGGTTCTATCCTCGCTACCCACTGGCTGTGGGATCACAGGTGGGTAATCCAAGCTTCCAGACCTCTTCATCCTCATAGGCAAACTGGGTACAGCGTGATGGTGGTTAAATGCACAGATTCGGGAGCCAGGCTGCCTAGATTCAAATCTCACCTTGGCCACTGACTACCAGTGTGAGTTCGGGCAAGTTACCAAACCTCTCTTGCCTTTAGTTACTCTAGCACAGGGTTTCTCAACCTTTAGAGCTATTGACATTTTGGGCCAGATAATTCTTGGAGGGGAGGGGTGCTGTCCCGTGCATTGTAGTACATTGAGCAGCACCCCTGACCTCTACTCACTAGACGCCAGTAGCACCCATATTTGAGACAACCAAAAAGTATCTCCAGACCTTGCCTTACCCTGGGGGAGAAACCACTCCCATTTGAAAAACACTGCTAGAAAATGGGAATGATAATAGAACACACCTTATGGAATTGATGTGAGGATTAAATTAAACAATCGAAAGTCTTAGAAGAGTGCCTGGTACTTAATGAATACTGGTTGAGTGGATTATTATTATTATTATTTACTATCATCTGCCTTAACAACATTTACAGACAAATTGTGGGCAAAAGCAGCTAGTGTAACTCAAGGTCAGAAGTGACTCTGAGGCACCCATTTTGACTCTGATTGCAACTGGCCAACTGAAAAATTTAGAATTAGGAAGACCCAAGGTTGAATCCCAACACTGCCACATACTGATTGTATAGAATTGCCAGATAAAATACAGGATGTCCAGTTAAATTTAATTTCAGTTAGACAACAAATAATTTTTTAGTGTAAGTGTGTCTCCAAAGATTTCATGGGATATACTTAAACTAAAAATGTATTTGTTATAGAAAACTCAAATCTAGCTGGGTATCCTGAATTTTTATTTGCTAAATCTGGCACCCCTATTAATGTATGACTTTGCACAATTTAAATTAACCTCTCTACACTTTAGTTTCCTCACCTGCTGAATGGGGATAAAACTTCCTACCTCAGAGAGTTCTTGAAAAAATTGGAAAAAATAGTAAACATGCAGTTTAGCCTCAGGCACACAGTAGGCATGAAATAAATGGTAGTTGCCGGAATTACATATGCAGGGATTTTAAATGCTATGTTTGTTTTTTACAAAGAAGGTGAGATCCTTGAGAACAATGCTGTCTTGTTCTTTGCTACATCTCCAGCATTTAGCAAGCTGCAGGAATAGCCTGCACTCAGGAGTCAAACACCCTGAGCTTAAGATCCCAGCTCCATCACTTAACTAGCTGTGTAACTCTGGGTAAGTCACTTAACCTCTCTGTGCCTCACCTGAAAAATAGAAATAATATAACCCACAGTGTAGGGTCATTGCAAAGATTAACTGAGTCAATAATTAATATAGAATGCTTAGAAGAGCCTTGATCCTGTTATGTGCTCACTAAATCCTGATTGAATGAAGGAAGGAAAGAAGCTACACTTCTACCACATCTCAATCTATAGAAGGTCCACCTACCTCTTTCCTAACAAGATAGTTACAAATCTCTACAATTTCTAGCACTTCTCTGAGATTAAGATTCCAACCTTCAGCTGGGCACGGTGGCTCATGCCTGTAATCCCAGCACTTTGGGAGGCCGAGGTGGACGGATCACTTGGAGGTCAGGAGTTTGAGACCAACCTGACCAACATGATGAAACCCTGTCTCTACTAAAAATACAAAAATTAGCCAGGTGTGGTGGCGTGCATCTGTGATCCCAGCTACTCAAGAGGCTGAGGCACAAGAATCACTTGAACCTGGGAGGCGGAGGTTGCAGTGAGCCAAGAATGCACCACTGCACTCCAGCCTGACAGAGCTGGTGACAGATCAAAACTCTGTCTTGAATAAGTAAATAAATAAATGCAATTTTAGAAAGATTCCAATCTTCACATCTGACCACATTTAACACTGTCTCTGATCCAGGTCACTTAAAGCATGCCATACCAAGCAATAGCTAGGATCCTGAGATAGGCTCAATGGAGCAAAATTAGCAAACAAGCAATATTTTACTGTATAGCTTTGAATTTAATAGAGCCAAGGAGCAGGCTGACTGCAAGCAGCAGAAGTTAAATGATGACCTTTTCAAAATTTGCTTTCTGCGATGCAAATGCTAGCGTATGGCTGCAATCAGATGTTTATCATGTCTGATTAGGAGATTTATGGCCACATAATTCTAAAAGCACAGAAAACAGAAACACACCCTAATTCAGCTATGTCCAGTTTCTTAACCAAGCTTCTTAATATTTGGCTGTTCAATGTGACCCAACCATTTTCCATGCCCCAGACACACAAATGTCCTATTAAGAATGACTGCATTTCCACTGCAGTTATTTTTCCCACCTTCTATGCTGCGGAGTGGGGAGGAGGGAAAATGCTGAAGGAGAAGGGAGCTGGCAAAGAAAGGAGAGAAAAATCTAGAGCGTTGAGGAAGAGACGTCAGAGACTAAAGGATTCTCACTTGTCATGTTCATCATTCTTCACACTCCTCCACTCCATGCCCCCTAGAGAATTTCAGGAAGTTATTGAGATTTGCAAAGGGTATTAAATTCCGTGGCCACAATCCCCTACCTCTGCAGAACTTCCATGCACTCAGATTTTTCTGACAGTTGATTCAATCAAATTTTGTGAACTAAGCATCTATTGCTCCAAACTGAGATGCTATTCAATTCAAAAAATATTTACTGGACATCGAATGGCCCAGGGTAACTATCCTGAGAAGAAAGAAAAAAGAGAAGAGAGTGTAGAGGAGAAGACAGGGAAAGGAGAGATGAAAAGATGGGGAAAAGAGAGGGTGAAAGGAGGGATCATTAATAAGCCCCTAGTTATTAGAGACTGTGTAGTACAGTGGTTAAGGTCATAGCCTTCAGCCAGAGCCCTGCTGCTTTTTTTTTTTTTTTTTTTTTTTTTTTTTTTTTTTTTTTTTGAGATGGAGTTTTGCTCTTGTTGACCAGGCTGGAGTGCAATGGTGCTATCTCGGTTCACTGCAACCTCCACCTCCTGGGTTCAAGCAATCCTCCTGCCTCAGCCTCCAGAGTAGCTGGGATTACAGGCACGTGCCACCACGCCCGGCTGATTTTTGTATTTTTTTTTAGTAGAGACGTGGTTTCACCATGTTGGTCAGGCTGTTCTGGAACTTCTGACCTCAAGTGATTCACCTGCCTCAGCCTCCCAAAGTGATGAGATTACAGGCGTGAGCTGCCATGCCTGGCCAGCCAGAGCCCTGCTTTGAACCCCGGCTCCACTATTTCCCAGCTGTATGACCCTTGATGAGTTACCTACCCTCTCTGAGCTTCCATATTCTCATTTGTACATGGAGATAACTGCCCAGAGCTGCTTGAGCTGTTGTGAGGATTCAACTGTGTGCCTGGCACATGACTTAGCACCCACCAACAGGTAGATGTCACCTTTGTTACCAGACGTCATGCGGAACACTTTGGGGTCTCATCCTCACCTACCCCTGTGATAAAGGTGTCAGTCTGATGTGTACAGATCAGGTTTGGGAGCTGGAGCAGATGATCAGGACTCAGCCCTTTGGTGTCTTTCAGCCATTTCCAGCTACCAATATCTGCATCTTTGTGGGGGGAGGGGGGCTCCCTTCAACTTTCATTTCAAGTTCCAGGGTACATGTGCAGGTTTGTTACATAGGTAAATGTGCCATGGTGGTTTGCTGCACAGATCATCCCATCACCTGGGTATTAAACCCAGGATCCATTAGCTATTCTTCCTGATGCTCTTCCTCCCGTCACCTCTCCCCCGACAGGCCCCAGTGTTACCCCCATCCCTTCATGTATCCATGTGCTCTCATTGTTCAGCTCCCACTTATAAGTGAAAATATGCAGTGTTTGGTTTTCCGTTCCTGTGTTAGTTGCTAAGGATAACAGCGTCCAGCTCCATCCATAGCCTGCAAAGGACATGATCTCGTTCCTTTTTATGGCTGCATAGGATTCCTTTGTGGGGCTTTTTATAGAATCATAAAAGCCTCTCTGGCTGTGCAAACAGAACAGGAAGTACCAGAGTGTAAACACAGCCCCCAGTCCCGCTTAGGAGGTCACCTTCTACTTACCAGTCCCTTGCCTGCTCTTGAGGCCAGCATAATGATACACCCGTAAACCACTGGCCTTGGAGTCAGTTTCTCAGGAGACCCCAAAAGAAGACAGAGGCTCAGAGGGATTGAGGCAATTGCCCAAATACACACAACTATGAAATAAAGGAGGGGAGGGGTTGAACAAGATCTGTCACATAGGCTATGATCACTTACCATCTGATCTCCCTAAAACCAATGACCTGTTAATGCTTAGGAAGAAAGTGCCAATCAATGGGAGCTGTCCTGGGCACCCAGGAAAGGGAAAAACCTGCAGACCTCGGCCATAGTATCCTCCTATTCCACTGATGATAGATTGCAGTTTCTCTATCATCTCGGGTTTCCTCATCTCATATAGGGCATTCTGCCTTCTCTATCTCAGGATACTTGAAGAGATGATTGAGGGAGCATTTCTAGAGACCTTTCTCCAAAACAGTGGTCCTGTGAGAGATGGTATAAAAAATAAAGGGCTGAAATAAAGTGGGGGCAATTCTGCATTTGTTAACCCCTTCTGGGAGCCTCACAACATCATTAACATATTAAAGGCTCTGAGAAGTCCTGCAGAAAACCACCCTGTTGACCATAAAACACTTTTCGAATTAATTTTCAAGATCCCTGTAGAAACCAGTGTTCCATAGAACACATTTTGGCAAATAACTAGATTAAGGGTTGATTAGAGATAGGAGTATTCATCTCATTTACTACATAGGATTTCATTAACTCGGGTGGTTATCTAATTAAGGTGTGGATATGGCCATTGGGATAAGATATGCGTAAGTAACACACCTGGTGCCAAGTAGCTATCTTCTTAGTCCATTTGTGTTGCTAGACAGGAATACCTGAGGCTGGGTAATTTATAAAGAAAAAGGGCTATTTGGCTCATGATTCTGTTGGCTGGAAGAATGGGCATCTGGTGAAAGCCTCAGGTTGTTTCCACTCATGGTAGAAGGCAAAGGGGAGCTGGCGTGTGCAGAAATCAGGTGGTGAGAGAGGAAGCAAGAAAGGGTGAGAGGGGAGATGCCAGGATCTTTTTCAAAAATCAGCTTTCATGGGAACTAAGAGGGAACTCACTTACTCCCCTGCCCCAGGGAGGGTATTAATCTATTCATGAGAGGTCCAGACCCGTGACCCAAACACTTCCTATTAGGCCCCGCCTCCAATGTTGGGGATCAGATTCCAACATAAGATTTGTAGGGGACACACATCCAAACTGTAGCAGAAGCCAACACCAACTAGATCTGCCCAGGAAATATTATGGTACCAACTGGCAGACACCATCCTTATCATGAGATAACAAGAATTCAAAGGATGTAAAAGAACCAGGTGGGGCTGCTGGAAAGGGGTCCCCAGAAGCTTCTGCCTTCGGGCTCTCTTTATCACTGCTCTTGCTGTTGATGATGGGTTGTGTGATACAATGCAAGACATGGTGGAGCAGAGAGGAAAATGGAAAAGGTAACATAATATGGAAAGGGGCCTGGCTATGGGAACTACAGGAAAAGTTGATTTATTCAGCATTCAATCCTGTGTCTCCTCAATTCACTCCTTCATTGCATTTTATTCCTATTAGCATAATATGCAGAGTATTTTCAAACATATATAACCATCCATCATTACATCTTTATAATCCTCCAAGCCAATACATTGTGTATGTTTATTGCTTATCTGAACGTATTTCTCCCTTCTAATACAACACATTTCCCTTCAGCATGATCCTCCCCAGTCCTCCTCACAAAATACCTATTCATGTCTGGGAGGAGGTAGGAAGGAGAAAAAATTAAAAAACAATGGTCATGAGTTCATCACTGTTGAAGCTGGGTGATAGGTACTCACAGACTCATACTATTTTGTCTACTTTTGCACATGTTTGGCATTGCCCATAGGAAAAGCATAAAGTATATATTTAAATGAGAAGCACATTGGGGAGGATTATGCTGAAGGGAAATCTGTTGTATCAGAAAGGAGAAATATGTTCACATAAGCAGTAAACATATACAGTATATTGGTTTGGAGGATTATAAAGATGTTATTATGAACGGTTATATATGTTTGGAAATACTCTGCATATTATGCTAATAGGAATAAAATGTAATGAAGGAGTGAGTTGAGGAGATACAGGATGGGAATAGGAGGAGGAGGGGGCTAGAAGGGATTTACATTCAGGGTTCAACAAAGTGGGGTGGACAGTCTGATGGAGGCTGAGCCCCATAGGCATTACTTCCAGTTGCCCTGCAGATGGGGGCCCCTCCTCCACATGTCAATGGCAGTAAGCTCTATACAGATTTTTAAAATATAGTAACTGGGGTAGGGTGCCTGAGCTAGTGGGTATTTTGGGGGTCTTTATGGGAGAAAGTCTAGAGTAGAGTGTGTGAAAGGGCTGAGTATACCTCAGAGAATGTGATCATATGGCAAATTGAGGTCTATCTCAAGCCTACACTCAAGAATGTCCCAGGCGTTGCCCTCTGGGACAGTTGTGATCACTGTAGATAAACTAAGTGTGGCAGATGGCAAATTATCTCCCAACCTCTGTTTTCTACTTTTTCCATAGCCATCTTTCTCAACAGAGGCACTGTTGGTATCCTGGATGGCACAATTCTTCATTACAAGGGAGTATCTCACATAGTTTAGGAAGTTTAGCACACCTGGCCCCACCCATCAAATTCCAAGAATGTTCCCTAGCCATCATGAAGACCAAAAATGCCCCTGCATATTTTTAAATGTTTACTAGGAGGGTAATTTTGCCTCAAGTTGAGAAACACTGTTCTATATAAAATGTTTGGGTGGGCACAAGTTCACCTAGCCAGACATTGCATTGTTAGCCCTCCATGTAGCTAGATGTGGCCATGTGACTGAATTCTGGCCAATAAAATGTGAGTAGAAGTGATATGTGTGATTTCTGGGTCCTGTTTTTAAAGGAAAGTGGGTGGTCTCCATTTAGTCTTCCTCCTTCCCATTGGCTGGAATGCACATGTGATGGCAGGAGCTAAAACAGCCATCTTGGACCATCAGGTGAAAGTCAAATGTTTCAAGTGCTAAGCAACAAGATAGAAAGAGCTTGGCCATTGTAGAGTCACTCTACTGGCCCTTAACTATTTACCCAGATTGCTATATTAGAGAGAAATAAGCTTATATCATGTTTAAGACACTGATTTTTTTTTATTAAATGTTTGTGAATCCATATTACCTACAGTGTTCTACCTGGGACATAACAACCTAGGATGGCAGAGCTCATTCTTCTGGCAGATTTTGTAAGTTGACATGGGTTACTAACATTAGTGGCACCTGCTGCACCTGATATTTTCCCTTGTTACTGCCAAAGAAAGTCAAGTCATACAGGAAGAAGAAGAAGAAGTCAACTTATGCACTCAGAGCCAGGTCTATAAAATCCATTCCCTCATGGGCCTTACTTTTCCAGTGTTCAGCAAGTAGATGGAGCTCTGTCCTCCTTACATTTACTCCCCTCCCTCCCCAACTCGCCAAAGATGACAGTACCCCAGGGAATCACTAAAAGGGGTAGGAGATAGTTAGGAGCAATAACAAACATCATTATATTTTCTACTAAATTCAGTGTTTCCTAATATTCAGGCAATCATAAGCCTCTTTGGCATTTTTTGTCATGTCTGCATATAAAAATAACATTAATGACCACCTACATTTACATGGCATTTAACTGTACATCAGGCACTATTCTAAGCAAATGTATATAATCCTAATGAAGATCCTATGAGTTAGAATTATCATCTTCATTTTACAAATAAAGAAACTGAGGCAAAGAGAGTAAAGAATACACACCCTGTAAGTGGCAAAGCTGAGATTCAAACCCAGGCATGCTGACTCCAGAGCCTAGCACTTAACTACCAACTACATTGCCAGGATATTACCTAGTACATGGAATACCAAACAACAGCCCATAGGCCAATCCAAACCCTGTTTCTGTAAATAAAGTTTTATTGTAACACAGCCACACCCACTTGGTTACATATTGTCTATGGCTACTTTCATATTATAGTGGCATAGTTGAAACGGAAACCATATGGCTCTCAAACCCTAAAATATTTACTATCTAGTCCTTTACAGAAAAGGTTGGCTGAGCCCTGACCTACTGTATTATTTATTAGTTTTCTTAGATTAATTTACTGTACTCAAATAAAATTCTCGTAAAGGAAAATTTCATATCACTACCATAAATGGAAAACCAATACTTGCAGAAAGGAAGAGGAAAAAAATGTAAAAACAATGGAAACAAAATGATGTAAAATTCTAGTTAAATATTTTCACCTCCTCCCAGGCTCTGAGTCTAAGATGCTGTCTGTTTGCTAAAGACAGGGATTGGAGCAAGTGTTAGAGTTCCACGAGCACCCAACTGAGACTTTCTTCGTGATCTCATCTGGAGGATTGAAAAAGATGGAAAAGAGGATCCACATTTCTCTATGTGACTCATGAGATTATGTAATGCTGTGCCCCCAAATTGTTGCAGGTACCATCAGAAATCATCTGGTGTACTACAGATGGGACAACATCCTGCATTTAAGGAGATACTTATCACATAAATCACCAAAACAGCAGTGATGGACATACCTGTCATCCATTCAAAATAGTGACCCTTTTTTTTTTTTTTTTTGAGTCTTGCTCTGTTGCCTGGGCTTGAGTGCAGTGGTGCAATTTCAGCTCACTGAAACCTCTGCCTCCCAGGTTCAAGCAATTCTCCCGCCTCAGCCTCCTGAGTAGCTGGGACCACAGGTGCCCGCCACCACGCCTGGCTAACTTTTTGTATTTTGTTTGTTTGTTTGTTTGTTTTTTTGTTTTGTTTTTTTTTTGTTTTTGAGACGGAGTCTCGCTCTGTCGCCCAGGCTGGAGTGCAGTGGCGCAATCTCGGCTCACTGCAAGCTCCGCCTCCCGGGTTCACGCCATTCTCCTGCCTCAGCCTCCCAAGTAGCTGGGACTACAGGCGCCCGCCACTACGCCCGGCTAATTTTTTGTATTTTTAGTAGAGATGGGGTTTCACCATATTGGCCAGGCTGGTCTCGAACTCCTTACCTTGTGATCCACCTACCTTGGCCTCCCAAAGTGCTGGGTTTACAGGCGTGAGCCACTGCGCCCAGCCGACCCATTTATTTTTTAAATTGGCATTAAACATGAGCATCACTGTCACCCCTGAGAATCATGTTCTTAGGGAAGAATAGTGTTTGCTTCCCATCTTGACTTAGAACTTGAAAGCCATCTCATGATCAGAAAATTAGAGACATAACCTCAAGCAGTGCTGCAAGTCTAGCAGGGGAAGACAATGGAGATTTTAAATAACTTGCCCAGGGTCACCTGGCTAAACCAAGATCCAGACCTCAGTCTCATTCCAGGTTTTGAAATATTCATAAATTCTGACCTTCAAGAAACATGTCTCCAAATTCAAAATAAGTAAAGATTTACCATCATTTAACAAAAACCTGACTGTCTTATTCCATTTTCTGTTGCTTATAACAGAATACTTGAAACTAGGTGATGTATAAAGAAATTTTATTTCTTAAATTTATGAAAGTGAGAAGTTCAACGTTGAGGGGCAGCATCTGGTGAGGACCTTCTTGCTGGTGGGGACTCTCTGCAGAGTCCCATCAGTTCCAAGGTAGCCCAGGGCATCACACAACGAGGGGGCTGGATGCCAGCTCAGTTCTCTCTTCCTCTTCTTATAAGGCCACCAGTCCCAGTCCCTTGATAGTCCATTAGTCCATTAATCCATTAATCCATGAACAGATTAATCCATTCATGAGCCCTCATGACTCAATCACCTCTTAAAGGCCCCACCTCTTGATACTGCCACACTGGGGATTAAGTTTCAACATGAGTTTTGGAGGAGACAAACATTAAGACCACAGCAATAATCATTTACAAAAACAAAATTAAACACAACTAACAATCACTATTTTGAAGGATGACTCATATAGATTGTTATCTTTTTTGTTTCTTGTTGTTGTTTTTAGAGACAGGGTTTTGCTCTGTTGCCCAGGCTAGAGTGCAGCAGCATGATCATAGCTCAAGTGAACTCCTGGGCTCAAGTGATTCTCCTGCCTCAGCCTCCTGAGTAGCTGGGACTACAGTAGCTGGGACTACAGACATGTGCCACCACACCCAGCTAACTTTTTTTTTTTTAGAGAGACAGGGTCTCACTATGTTTCCCAGGCTAGCCTTGAACTCCTGGACTCAAGTCATCCTCCTGCCTTGGCCTCCTACAGTACTGGGATTACAGGCATGAGCCACCACACCCAACCCCCTAGATCCAGTTTTTGTACATAAGCTCCTTACTATAGACTGAAAGGTTCCATAAGGCTAGGCCTGCCCACCTCTCAGACTTCACCTCTCACTTCTCTCCCTTGTCCGCTATGCTCCAGTCACACAGGATGACACTTAGAGGGGGCTGTCCACTGCACTAGATGCCAGTAGTACCACCCCCTCAGTTGTGATAATCAAAATTGTCTCCAGGCATGGCCACATGTCCCCTGAAGGAGAGGGGACACAAAAACGCCTTTGTGGTATCTTCTCTGTAACCCAGTGAAGAATATGTAAGTTGATAAAGCCACCCTTTGGAAAGCATTCTAAATATGCACTCTCCTCCAAGGACAGTGGGTTTGTCACTTGGAGGAACCCTTGTGGTTTATTCACTAAGATGGGCTTGGAGTGTGCAAACTTGAACCCAGGCTGGAACAGAGTGGAACTGCTTGGTATCAGAAAGGGTGAGAAATTGCTCTTATAAAAGGGAGCTGAATAACGCATGCAATGGACAGAGAATGTGGAATGATAGACATTGGAGACTCAGAAAGATGGAGGAGCACAGAAGGAGGGTGGGTGATGAGAAATTACTTAATGGGCACTGTATGAGTCCGTTTTCACACTGCTGATAAAGACATACCTGAGACTGGGCAATTAACAAAAGAAAGAGAGGTTTAATGGACTTGTAGTTCCATATGGCTGGGGAGGCCTCACAATCATGGCAGAAGGCAAGGAGGAGCAAGTCACGTCTTACATGGATGGCAGCAGGCAGAGAGAGAGCTTGTGCAGGGGAACTCCTCTTTTTAAAAACCATCAGATCTCATGAGACTTATTCACTATCATAAGAACAGTGCAGGAAAGACCTACCCCCATAATTCAATCATCTCCCACCAGGTTCCTCCCATGACATGTGGAAATTGTGGGAGTTACAATTCAAGATGAGATTTGAGTGGGGACACAACCAAACTATATCAGGCACAATGCATATTATTCAAGCAACAGATACACTAAAAAGCCAAGACTTCACCATATGCAATATATCCATGTAGCTAAATTACATTAGTATCCCCTTACATTTACACGCTTTCAGGCCAGGGGTAGTGGCTCATGCCTATAATCTCAGCAATTTGTAAGGCTGAGGCAGGAGGATTGCTTGAGCTCAGAAGTTCGAGACCAGCCTGGGCAACATGAGGAGAGCCCATCTCTACAAAAAAAAATTACAAATTAGCAGGTGCGGTGGCATATAGCTGTGGTCCCACCTACTCAAGAGGCTGAGGCAGGAGGATCACTTGAACCTGGGAGGTCAGGGCTGCAGTGAGCCATGATGCCATGCTCACACCACTGCACTCCAGTCTCAGTGACAGACAGAGACCCTGTCTCAAAAAAAAAATTTTTAATAAGAAAATAAATTTATACACTTTTTTGTTAAAAGTGGGTTTGAACTTCTGAGAAAAAGTTGGAGGAATTAAAAGGCTGAACCCCTTACCCCATTGAAAAACAGAAACTCCGTTGCAGCTAGTTCCAAAGAGGGCATCCATTCCTTCTTCTCCAAGGAGGACAACAGAAATTGCCGATGAGGATTTTTTTTAATTGTCAAGACACTTTTGTGCAAGACGAGCCCTGCCTCCATTTCACTGTGAAATCTTCAGCAAAGTCTACCTTGCTCAATAGTGCTTTTGTGTGACAAGATTCTCTTAGGGACCCTGTAGAGGTGTAAAGTTTTGTGTCCAAGTTTGCTGCAAGATTAAAGCAGAGACCACATGAGCACAGGCAGAAGCCACAGGACAAGGGTACAGCTGCCATCTGAGTTACCCACTGTGCACCTGTAAAAACTCTACAGATAGATGCAAGCTGGGAGTCATGCAGCCCCATATCACCCTGTTTCCCCTACCTGGAATATTTTCTCCTCATCCCCAACCTGCCCATCTGATCCTCACACCTGCCCATCTAACCCTTAATTAAGCTAGCTGAGTGTCAGGGTTAGCCATCATCTCCCACCCCAGGGACTTAACCCACTATATTATATTCACCTGTTTAATGTTGTTCCCACCAACCCATCCCACAGACAGTGAATGACAGCAAGGATTGTACCTGTCTTATTCCACCACAAAGTCCTCAGTGCCTAGAACAGTGCCCAGCCCAGAGGGAGCCATTAACGATTATGTATTGAGCAGATGAGTGCTAGATTGACCTGAATTACAGGAGATAAAGAGAGGAAAGGGAGTGGATAGCTACTGGTTCCCCGCCCAGAATCTCTTTATCCCCAGCTGCTGTAAAGGGCTCACAGCTACACCCTTCTCCAAAGAATTGGCCTTAGCCAGATGGAACCCACTTTCCCCAGGAGGCTCTGCCCTAACCTACCCCTAGGGCAGCCAGTAATTGATAGACACTGTGGTGCAGAAGCCTGGCCCCCTTGTCTCAAGATGACACCAACTCCATGGTGGAATTTATGCTCTAGAGTTCCCCCACGGCATCAGGCTGAAGTTTTCTCCACCTAAAGACCACACCTGTGCTTAGCATTTTTTCTGCCCTCTCCTGCTTTTCTCATTCCAGTTCTTCTGAGAACTCTCCCTCAATAAATCACTTGAACAAGAATTCCTATCTCAGAGAACCCTAAAATGGGAATAAATCATTGTGAGTTTCAAGGAGTTGATAAGATATGGGAAAAGCATCTCAATACTACCTAATACATACTGAGGCTCAATAAATATTTATGAAATAATTGGATGGGTGGATGGATGATGGATGGATGGATGGATGGGTGGGTGGGTGGATGGGTAGATGGATGGATGGGTAGATGAGTGGTTAGGCAGATAGATGGACAGGAGGATCTATTACCCTATGAAGGCAAAAACAAAACATATGGACTTCACATTGAAGGGAGTGGTAATAGATCATCAAATGGACCCGAGTCTGAATCTTTCTCTATATCTTCCTAGCTGTGTGATATTGGGCAATTACAAACACCTCTGAGCCTAAATTTACTCATCTGTAATATGGGGGATACTCATGACATCTACTTCACAGATTGTTATAATAATGCAATGATTTAATGTTTATGTAAAGATGTTAGCACTGTGCCTAGTGCATAAGGGCTTGATAAATAGCATCTACTATTATTATTACTATCAATTTTATTATTATTATTATTGACCCAATTAAAAGTGAAATACATTGAAAGGCCCAGGTGGGAGGATCTCTTGAGGCTAGGGGTTTCAGACCAGCCCGGGCAGCATAGTGAGACTTTGTCCCTACAAAAAATTTTTAAATTATCCAGGTGTAAGAGTGTGGACCTGCAGTGCCAGGTACTAGGGAGGCTGAGGCAGGAGGATTGCTTGAGCCCAGGAGGTCGAGGCTGCAGTGAGTTATAATCCTGTGATTGTGCCACCGCACTCCAGCCTGGGTGACAGAGCAAGACCACATCTCAAAAAAAAAAAAAAAAAAAAATGCAAAGTGCATTCCCCTATTGTGTCATAATATAGTTAAACAAGCAAAAGGTAGTTAAAAAAAAAAAAAAAGCAAACATCAGCAGCTAATTGTTCAAAGAGGAGAGATTAAGTTCAAGAAAGCAAGCTTTTTCTTGTTTTGGTAAAATTAAACCCAACACAAAAAAGCAGGTTAATTTCTTGGAGGAAAGAAAAAAGTAACTATCTCATCACAGGGCGATACCCTATCTGAGCTCTGTGAGCCTGGGGCCTCCCGAGAAGCATTTACCAATGAGTATTTTCACAACCTTTTTTATCTAGAGCCAATCAATAAGTGTCTCCAGGTCCCTTTCTGGTTTGTGATTAGTTGTTTTCATTATTTCTGGTTTGCTAGATGCAGATGGGTCTGTGTGGCACAGTTTTTAAATTATCCTAAACACCAGGAATTAACAGCATAGAGAGCTCTGAAAGTGTGAGACATTGGGGCAAATGGTTCTCTCCCACTGGGTCAAGCAAAGATACACACGATCCACTGCTTCTCCTTTGACTCACACCCACGCTGCCACCTGGTCCAAGGCACTATTGGGAGCCTCTTCCCTGGTCTCCCTGCTTTTTCCCTCACCCACTGCTGCAAGTTCCCCTCACAGCAGACACGAGAATCCCATTCAAATGTAACTCAGATCATATCGCTCCTCTTCTCTAAAACCTCCCCATGGCTTCTGTTTGTTTTTTGTAATTTTTCATTTTTTCAGAGATGGGGTCTCACTCTGTCACCTTTGCATGATCACAGCTCACTGCAGCCTCAAACTCCTGGACTCAAGGATCCTCCTGCCTTGAGTAGCTGGGACTACAGATATGCACCACCCCACCCTGCTGATTTTTTTTTTTTTTTTTTTTTTTTTTTTTTTTTTTTTTTTTTGTGGTAAAGACAGGCCTTGCAATGTTTCCCAGACTAGTCTCCAACTCCTGGCCTCAAGCAAGCCTCCCACTTCAGCTTCCCAAAGTGCTGTGATTATAGGCATGCCATGGGTCCCCTTCTTAATCAGAGGGACAACCAAAGTCCCAGAGTGGCTCCAAGGCTCTTCCCAATCTGCCCCGTTTCACTGACTTTGTCTCTCATTACTCTCCCCTCTCCTTACTTGCTCCACCACCAAGCAAATTAGCTTCCTTGCTTTTACCTAAACATTCCAGGCAGACTCCAACCTCAGGGCCTTTGCACTTGCTGTTCCTCTGTGCAGAACACTCTTCCCTCATTATTAACATGCCTCACTCTCGAACTTTCTCCTGATCTCTGCTCAAACGTCACCTTGTGATATGGTTTGGATTTGTGTCCCTGCCCAAATCTCATGTCAAATTGCAATCCTCATTGTTGGAGGGGGGGCCTGGTGGGTGATTGGATCATGGGGGTGAATTTCCCTCTTGCCGTTCTTGTGACAGTGAGTGAGTTCTTGCAAGATCTGGTTGTTTAAAAATGTGTAGCAACCCCCGCCCCCGGCCCTTTGATCTCTTGCTCCTGCTCCAGCCACATAAGACATTCCTTCTTCCCCTTTGCCTTCCGCCCTGATTGTCAGTTTCCTGAGGCTTCCCCAGCCATGCTTCCTGTGCAGGCTGTGGGACCACGAGCCAAGTAAACCTCTTTTCTTTACAAATTACCCAGTCTCAGGTAGTTCTTTATAGTAATGTGAGAATGGACTAATATGCCTTGTTAGGGAAGGCTTCCCTGACCTCCCTCCCTAAAATAGCAGACATACCCAAACCTCATCCACAGTCTACTTTTCTTTTCTCAGTTTTATCTTTCTCCATAGCACCTACCACTGCCAGCATCCCATATAATATGTTCATCTCTCCCACTAGAATGTCAGCACTGGAAGAGCAGGGATCTTTCTCTAGTCTGTTCTTGCCACCTAGAAGAGTGTCTGGCACAATAAATAAATGCTATACTAAATATGCTATATAATATAAACATAAAGAGTATTGACACAATATATAACACTATGTATTATATAATGTATATTATACCTACATATTATATGATATGTAATCATATGATATTGCAATTGTTACATACAATTACATCATAATGAAATATTATTAAATATTTATATATAATAATTTATATTATGTTACATATAATATATAGTACATAATGACAGGTAATAAATACTATATATTACATAAAACTATAGTATATGTTGTATTACAATTCTGTATTGCATGTGATCATAATATAATATAAATGTATAGTGCATAATACAAATATTTTTTTTAAATTATTTTTATTATACTTTAAGTTTTAGGGTACATGTGCACATTGTGCAGGTTAGTTACATATGTATACATGTGCCATGCTGGTGCGCTGCACCCACTAACTCGTCATCTAGCATTAGGTATATCTCCCAATGCTATCCCTCCCCCCTCCCCCCACCCCACCACAGTCCCCAGAGTGTGATATTCCCCTTCCTGTGTCCATGTGATCTCATTGTTCAATTCCCACCTATGAGTGAGAATATGCGGTGTTTGGTTTTTTGTTCTTGCGATAGTTTACTGAGAATGATGGTTTCCAATTTCATCCATGTCCCTACAAAGGACATGAACTCATCATTTTTTATGGCTGCATAGTATTCCATGGTGTATATGTGCCACATTTTCTTAATCCAGTCTATCATTGTTGGACATTTGGGTTGGTTCCAAGTCTTTGCTATTGTGAATAATGCTGCAATAAACATACGTGTGCATGTGTCTTTATAGCAGCATGATTTATAGTCATTTGGGTATATACCCAGTAATGGGATGGCTGGGTCAAATGGTATTTCTAGTTCTAGATCCCTGAGGAATCGCCACACTGACTTCCACAATGGTTGAACTAGTTTACAGTCCCACCCACAGTGTAAAAGTGTTCCTATTTCTCCATATCCTCTCCAGCACCTGTTGTTTCCTGACTTTTTAATGATTGCCATTCTAACTGGTGTGAGATGATATCTCATAGTGGTTTTGATTTGCATTTCTCTGATGGCCAGTGATGATGAGCATTTTTTCATGTGTTTTTTGGCTGCATAAATGTCTTCTTTTGAGAAGTGTCTGTTCATGTCCTTCGCCCACTTTTTGATGGGGTTGTTTGTTTTTTTCTTGTAAATTTGTTTGAGTTCATTGTAGATTCTGGATATTAGCCCTTTGTCAGATGAGTAGGTTGCGAAAATTTTCTCCCATGTTGTAGGTTGCCTGTTCACTCTGATGGTAGTTTCTTTTGCTGTGCAGAAGCTCTTTAGTTTAATTAGATCCCATTTGTCAATTTTGGCTTTTGTTGCCATTGCTTTTGGTGTTTTGGACATGAAGTCCTTGCCCACGCCTATGTCCTGAATGGTAATGCCTAGGTTTTCTTCTAGGGTTTTTATGGTTTTAGGTCTAACGTTTAAATCTTTAATCCATCTTGAATTGATTTTTGTATAAGGTGTAAGGAAGGGATCCAGTTTCAGCTTTCTACATATGGCTAGCCAGTTTTCCCAGCACCATTTATTAAATAGGGAATCCTTTCCCCATTGCTTGTTTTTCTCAGGTTTGTCAAAGATCAGATAGTTGTAGGTATGCGGCGTTATTTCTGAGGGCTCTGTTCTGTTCCATTGATCTATATCTCTGTTTTGGTACCAGTACCATGCTGTTTTGGTTAATGTAGCCTTGTAGTATAGTTTGAAGTCAGGTAGTGTGATGCCTCCAGCTTTGTTCTTTTGGCTTAGGATTGACTTGGCGATGCAGGCTCTTTTTTGGTTCCATATGAACTTTAAAGTAGTTTTTTCCAATTCTGTGAAGAAAGTCATTGGTAGCTTGATGGGGATGGCATTGAATCTATAAATTACCTTGGGCAGTATGGCCATTTTCACGATATTGATTCTTCCTACCCATGAGCATGGAATGTTCTTCCATTTGTTTGTATCCTCTTTTATTTCCTTGAGCAGTGGTTTGTAGTTCTCCTTGAAGAGGTCCTTCATATCCCTTGTAAGTTGGATTCCTAGGTATTTTATTCTCTTTGAAGCAATTGTGAATGGGAGTTCACTCATGATTTGGCTCTCTGTTTGTCTGTTGTTGGTGTATAAGAATGCTTGTGATTTTTGTACATTGATTTTGTATCCTGAGACTTTGCTGAAGTTGCTTATCAGCTTAAGGAGATTTTGGGCTGAGACGATGGGGTTTTCTAGATAAACAATCATGTCGTCTGCAAACAGGGACAATTTGACTTCCTCTTTTCCTAATTGAATACCCTTTATTTCCTTCTCCTGCCTGATTGCCCTGGCCAGAACTTCCAACACTATGTTGAATAGGAGCGGTGAGAGAGGGCATCCCTGTCTTGTGCCAGTTTTCAAAGGGAATGCTTCCGGTTTTTGCCCATTCAGTATGATATTGGCTGTGGGTTTGTCATAGATAGCTCTTATTATTTTGAAATACGTCCCATCAATACCTAATTTATTGAGAGTTTTTAGCATGAAGTGTTGTTGAATTTTGTCAAAGGCTTTTTCTGCATCTATTGAGATAATCATGTGGTTTTTGTCTTTGGCTCTGTTTATATGCTGGATTACATTTATTGATTTGCGTATATTGAACCAGCCTTGCATCCCAGGGATGAAGCCCACTTGATCATGGTGGATAAGCTTTTTGATGTGCTGCTGGATTCGGTTTGCCAGTATTTTATTGAGGATTTTTGCATCAATGTTCATCAAGGATATTGGTCTAAAATTCTCTTTTTTGGTTGTGTCTCTGCCCGGCTTTGGTATCAGAATGATGCTGGCCTCATAAAATGAGTTAGGGAGGATTCCCTCTTTTTCTATTGATTGAAATAGTTTCAGAAGGAATGGTACCAGTTCCTCCTTGTACCTCTGGTAGAATACGGCTGTGAATCCATCTGGTCCTGGACTCTTTTTGGTTGGTAAACTATTGATTATTGCCACAATTTCAGCTCCTGTTATTGGTCTATTCAGAGATTCAACTTCTTCCTGGTTTAGTCTTGGGAGAGTGTATGTGTTGAGGAATGTATCCATTTCTTCTAGATTTTCTAGTTTATTTGCGTAGAGGTGTTTGTAGTATTCTCTGATGGTAGTTTGTATTTCTGTGGGATCGGTGGTGATATCCCCTTTATCATTTTTTATTGTGTCTATTTGATTCTTCTTTTTTTCTTTATTAGTCTTGCTAGCGGTCTATCAATTTTGTTGATCCTTTCAAAAAACTAGCTCCTGGATTCATTGATTTTTTGAAGGGTTTTTTGTGTCTCTATTTCCTTCAGTTCTGCTCTGATTTTAGTTATTTCTTGCCTTCTGCTAGCTTTTGAATGTGTTTGCTCTTGCTTTTCTAGTTCTTTTAATTGTGATGTTAGGGTGTCAATTTTGGATCTTTCCTGCTTTCTCTTGTGGGCATTTAGTGCTATAAATTTCCCTCTACACACTGCTTTGAATATGTCCCAGAGATTCTGGTATGTTGTGTCTTTGTTCTCGTTGGTTTCAAAGAACATCTTTATTTCTGCCTTCATTTCGTTATGTACCCAGTAGTCATTCAGGAGCAGGTTGTTCAGTTTCCATGTAGTTGAGCGGCTTTGAGTGAGATTCTTAATCCTGAGTTCTAGTTTGATTGCACTGTGGTCTGAGAGATAGTTTGTTATAATTTCTGTTCTTTTACATTTGCTGAGGAGAGCTTTACTTCCAACTATGTGGACAATTTTGGAATAGGTGTGGTGTGGTGCTGAAAAAAATGTATATTCTGTTGATTTGGGGTGGAGAGTTCTGTAGATGTCTATTAGGTCCGCTTGGTGCAGAGCTGAGTTCAATTCCTGGGTATCCTTGTTGACTTTCTGTCTCGTTGATCTGTCTAATGTTGACAGTGGGGTGTTAAAGTCTCCCATTATTAATGTGTGGGAGTCTAAGTCTCTTTGTAGGTCGCTCAGGACTTGCTTTATGAATCTGGGTGCTCCTGTATTGGGTGCATATATATTTAGGATAGTTAGCTCCTCTTGTTGAATTGATCCCTTTACCATTATGTAATGGCCTTCTTTGTCTCTTTTGATCTTTGTTGGTTTAAAGTCTGTTTTATCAGAGACTAGGATTGCAACCCCTGCCTTTTTTTGTTTTCCATTTGCTTGGTAGATCTTCCTCCATCCTTTTATTTTGAGCCTATGTATGTCTCTGCACGTGAGATGGGTTTCCTGAATACAGCACACTGATGGGTCTTGACTCTTTATCCAACTTGCCAGTCTGTGTCTTTTAATTGGAGAATTTAGTCCATTTACATTTAAAGTTAATATTGTTATGTGTGAATTTGATCCTGTCATTATGATGTTAGCTGGTTATTTTGCTCGTTAGTTGATGCAGTTTCTTCCTAGTCTCGATTGTCTTTACATTTTGGCATGATTTTGCAGTGGCTGGTACCGGTTGTTCCTTTCCATGTTTAGCGCTTCCTTCAGGAGCTCTTTTAGGGCAGGCCTGGTGGTGACAAAATCTCTCAGCATTTGCTTGTCTGTAAAGTATTTTATTTCTCCTTCACTTATGAAGCTTAGTTTGGCTGGATATGAAATTCTGGGTTGAAAATTCTTTTCTTTAAGAATGTTGAATATTGGCCCCCACTCTCTTCTGGCTTGTAGGGTTTCTGCCGAGAGATCTGCTGTTAGTCTGATGGGCTTCCCTTTGAGGGTAACCCGACCTTTCTCTCTGGCTGCCCTTAACATTTTTTCCTTCATTTCAACTTTGGTGAATCTGACAATTATGTGTCTTGGAGTTGCTCTTCTCGAGGAGTATCTTTGTGGCATTCTCTGTATTTCCTGAATCTGAATGTTGGCCTGCCTTGCTAGGTTGGGGAAGTTCTCCTGGATAATATCCTGCAGAGTGTTTTCCAACTTGGTTCCATTCTCCACATCACTTTCAGGTACACCAATCAGACGTACATTTGGTCTTTTCACATAGTCCCATATTTCTTGGAGGCTTTGCTCATTTCTTTTTATTCTTTTTTCTCTAAACTTCCCTTCTCGCTTCATTTCATTCATTTCATCTTCCATTGCTGATACCCTTTCTTCCAGTTGATCGCATCGGCTCCTGAGGCTTCTGCATTCTTCACGTAGTTCTCGAGCCTTGGTTTTCAGCTCCATCAGCTCCTTTAAGCACTTCTCTGTATTGGTTATTCTAGTTATACATTCTTCTAAATTTTTTTCAAAGTTTTCAACTTCTTTGCCTTTGGTTTGAATGTCCTCCCGTAGCTCAGAGTCATTTGATCGTCTGAAGCCTTCTTCTCTCAGCTCGTCAAAATCATTCTCCATCCAGCTTTGTTCCGTTGCTGGTGAGGAACTGCGTTCCTTTGGAGGAGGAGAGGCGCTCTGCGTTTTAGAGTTTCCAGTTTTTCTGTTCTGTTTTTTCCCCATCTTTGTGGTTTTATCTACTTTTCGTCTTTGATGATGGTGATGTACAGATGGGTTTTCGGTGTGGATGTCCTTTCTGTTTGTTATTTTTCCTTCTAACAGACAGGACCCTCAGCTGCAGGTCTGTTGGAATACCCTGCCGTGTGAGGTGTCAGTGTGCCCCTGCTGGGGGGTGCCTCCCAGTTAGGCTGCTCAGGGGTCAGGGGTCAGGGACCCACTTGAGGAGGCAGTCTGCCCGTTCTCAGATCTCCAGCTGCATGCTGGGAGAACCACTGCTCTCTTCAAAGCTGTCAGACAGGGACATTTAAGTCTGCAGAGGTTACTGCTGTCTTTTTGTTTGTCTGTGCCCTGCCCCCAGAGGTGAAGCCTACAGTGGCAGGCAGGCCTCCTTGAACTGTGGTGGGCTCCACCCAGTTCGAGCTTCCTGGCTGCTTTGTTTACCTAAGCAAGCCTGGGCAATGGCGGGCGCCCCTCCCCCAGCCTCGCTGCCGCCTTGCAGTTTGATCTCAGAATGCTGTGCTAGCAATCAGAGAGACTCCGTGGGCGTAGGACCCTCCGAGCCAGGTGTGGGATATAGTCTCGTGGTGCGCCGTTTTTTAAGCCGGTCTGAAAAGCGCAATATTCGGGTGGGAGTGACCCGATTTTCCAGGTGCGTCCGTCACCCCTTTCTTTGACTCGGAAAGGGAACTCCCTGACCCCTTGCGCTTCCCAGGTGAGGCAATGCCTCGCCCTGCTTCGGCTCGCGCACGGTGCGCGCACCCACTGGCCTGCGCCCACTGTCTGGCACTCCCTAGTGAGATGAACCCGGTACCTCAGATGGAAATGCAGAAATCACCCGTCTTCTGCGTCGCTCACGCTGGGAGCTGTAGACCGGAGCTGTTCCTATTCGGCCATCTTGGCTCCTCCAACCCAAATATTTTTTAAGTAGCTGCTCAGTAAACAGTCACTGAAGGAATTAATTGGCCAGGCACGGTGGCTCATGTCTATAGTCCCAAGGCTTTTGGAGGCCAAGGCACAAGGATTGCTTGAGCCTAGGAGTTCAAGACCAGCCTAGGTAACATAGCAAGACCCTATCTCTACAAAAAAAAAAAAATAATAATGTTAAAAAATAGGAAGATATGTGGGAACTAAAACAGAACAGGCTGAGGAGGGCCAGAGACTACTGGCAGTGAGTTGGCCCCGGGTGATGGCAATGGAGGTGGTAAGAAGTGCTCAGATTCTATATATGGCTTAAATGTGGAGCAGACAGGATTGGTTGATGAATTGGATGTGGAGTAGGAAAGAAGGAGAGGAATCAAGGATGACTCCAGGTTTGGGGTCTGAGCAATGGGAAGGATGGAGTGGCCAGTTAATGGCAGTGGCAAGACCACGGAAGGAGCAGGGTCTGTGTCGAGAGAGTGAATATCAGGAGTTTGGATGTGAACATGCTAACTTTGAACTTCCTATGAGAAGTTCCATATGAAGTTCCTACGAGAAGTTCATCCTAGTGGCGGTACTGACTAAGCAGTTAGCTGTGCAGGTCTAGAGCTTAGGGGACCCGCCAGGCTGGAAACAACAAATTTTGAAATCATATACACTGAGAGGGCACTTTAAGTCAAATGTAGGTGGAGAAGGATGGAAGGACTCAGTCCTAGGACATGATGCTGTTTAGAGATGGAAGGAAACGACCAGGAGAATGTGGTGTCCTGGAAGCCCAGTGAAAACTCAGTGAGTATAATGAGCATTTGTAATTAATCTGCTCAGTATCCACACCTCTTCCTCCAGCAACTGCCCCTGATTTTCACTTGGATATCTACCCCATCCCTACTTGGACCATGTGATCTGCATGGGCCTGTATGCTCAGCTCCAAGCATAGAGCACCATGAAAACATGTTGGCTTAGGGATAAACAGATGACTTCAGCCAAGCCAATCAGAGTGAATCTCAGAACCACTGCAGGAACTACTGGGAAACATTATTTTCAGAAGGATTTGAACAGAAGTTGCTGGCAATCATCACACCATCACAGGGGCAGCTTATTCTGTAAATGAAGCCCACACAAACAAAGCAAAGTCTGGAGGTGAAGAAAGGATTTTGGTGACTTCACTTGCTACTTGGATCAAGCCACACCTGAAGCTTGAGGTGTCCTAGACATTTTAGTTATGTGAACTATTTAGCTTGTGCCAGTTTGGGTTGGACTGTTTTGGTAACTCGGAAAAAATAAGTCTGACTAATTCAGAAAGGGAATTGATAAAATCAGTAGGGTATATTTATCCAATAGAATATTATTATGCCACTAAAAAGAATTAGGTAGGTCACTACCTGTTGATCTGGAAATATGTCCATGTTTATTAATAAGCAAAAAAAGCAAATCAGACTTCATACTCACTAGGATGTCTATAATCAAAAAAAAAGACAATAACAAAGGTTGGCAAAGATGTGAAGAAAGTGGAACCCTCATACACTGCTGGTGGAAACATCAAATGGTGCAGTTGCTTTGAAAAATAATTTCACAGTTTCTCAAAATATTTAACATAGAATTAGGCCAGGCACGGTAGCTCACGCCTGTAATCCTAGCACTTTGGGAGGCCAAGGTGGGCAGATCACTTGAGGTCAGGAGTTCGAGACCAGCCTGGCCAACACGGTGAAACCCCATCTCTACTAAAAATACAAAATTAGCTGGGCATGATAGCATGCCTGTAATCCCAGCTACTCAGGAGGCTGAGGCACGAGAATCACTTGAACCTGGGAGGCAGAGGTTGCAATGGGCTGAGGTTGTGCCATTGCACTTCAGCCTGGGCAACAAGAGCAAAACTCCATCTCAAAACACACACACACACACACACACACACACACACACACACACACACACACACACAGAATTACCATAAGGCAATTCCATTCCTGGGTATATACCCAAGAGAACTGAAAACATATGTCTACACAAAAACTTGAACACCAATGTTATCAGCAGCATTATTTATAATAGCCAAAAAGTAGAAACAACACAAATGTCTATCAACTGAGGAACAGATAAATAAAATGTGATATACCCATCTAATGAAACGTTATTCAAACTGAAAAGGGAAGGAAGCACCGATTCATGCTTTAACACAGATGAACCTTGAAAACACGATGCTAAGTGAAAGACGCCAGTCGCAAAAGGACAAATATTATATTATTCCATTTATATGAAATGTCCAGAATAGGCAAATCTAAAGAAACAGAAAGTAAAGTAGAGGTTGCCAGGGACCAAGGGAAGGGCAAGGAAAACGTGTAGTTACTGCTAATGGGTTTCTTTTAGGAGAGACCAAAATGTTCTAAAATTACGTGTGGAGATAGTCATACAACCCTGTGAACATACTAAAATAATTGAGTGGCTCGCTTTACATGGACAAATTGTATGGTATAAGAATTATATCTCAATAAAGCTATTTTCAAAGGCAAATTATAAAATAATATGTGTAGTATGATCCTACTTTGGTAATAAATAAATATGATTAAAAAAACAATTACATGTATGAGTCTCTACGTTACAAGATGGAGACTATTTAATTCCCCAGGGTTCCTCTTGAAATGGGCAATGTACTTGTGAGGAAGAAACATTTCAGTAAGCAACTTAGAGAGGGTGGGAGCCTCAGACCTGCCCAACTAGCAAGATATGATCCCAAAACTGCCTTCTAAGGGGGAGGGTCATCTTTACTGGAGGGTCCTTTGTTAGTTGCAGCCTGTGATGAACTGGGCTTGCGATTGAAGCAGGATCTGGTGCACTGTGGAATTGCTCTGCAGAATAGCAACAGGAAATTTAGGGAAGAGACCTGGGACAGGAGGAGAAGCAGGTGAGACTGAGGGAGAAGAAGCCCCTGCAGTGACAAGGCCAAGGGCAGGGGGTGACTTAGGGGTGCCTCACAGTATAATCTCTTCCTCTGCCTCCTCTAAGAAGGCTTCTATAAGCTCTGCATTGCTCCCCAGTGCTGTGTGCATGGGATGAATTCTTCTGCAAGAATTCGGAGACATGCTAGATTCTCATGGGGGGTTGGCATAGGGAAAATCACAAATCACACTAAGACTTGGAAGCTGACATCTGGGATATGTGTATACATAAATGTAGAAAGTACTCCAAAAGGATAAATGCCAGAGGTAGAACTGACATCAAGGAAGGAGAAGATTTGTGTTTCCTTTACACTCTTCTGCCTTATTTAGATTTATCACAATAAGCATGAACGATTTTGTCATTCTTAAAGGTAAAAAAGACAACTCAGGCTGGGTGTGGTAGCACGCACCTGTGGTCCCAGCTACTCAGGAGGCTGAAGCAGGAGGATCACTTGAGCCTAGGGGGTCGAGGCTGCAGTGAGCCATGCTGGTGCCACTGCAGTCCAGCCTGGGCAACAGAGCAAGAACCTGTCTCAAAAGAAGAAAGAAAAAAGACAACTCAAGTGCCACTTCCTCCAGGAAGTCTCCGAGGCAGAAATAAAAACTCCTCCTCTGCATTGCAATTAAACTTTGTTCCTTCCGTTATTTCAGCACTTGCCACTTGAGGAGAATTCACTGTTCTGGGAGCCATGGAGGACAGCAGCTGTTCACTTTTTCTCTCTGATATTGAGCCTATAAAAGGTACTTTGTAAGTATCTGGGGAATAAATGAACAGGTGAGTGAGTGAATGGGTGAGTGAGTAAGTGAATGAGCTCAGCTATGCCCACAGCAACCTGAATCCAACCAGCCTTTGTCCAAGCTCATCCTACTGAGGCTGGCTAAATGACAAGGGTGGCCATTTGGGGATGCTGAGCCACCCCAAGGAGCCTGGGATTAATTATACTGCCACCAACACCTCAGCAGCGTGGATTTGCAAGTCTTAATTACATGCAGGGACCAGCAGGAATGCTCACTCGCCATCTCTGACCCCAGAGTCTCCGGTGTTATTCTTTACACCCCTTTCTCTTCCTGACACCTCCAGCTCCCTAAGGAAAGCAGGGGACAAACCGGGAGCAGAGATGTGCTTCAAACAGGGAGAGAGAAAGAGCTTAGGCTGCAGGAAGCTCATCTACTTCAGCCTCAGACCTCAGGGCTCAGGAGGGAAAAAACTGTCTTCTTGTATTTTTTTAAATGGCTCAGCCAGAGGTGAGGATGGGGAGCTGGGTCCTTGCCCAGAGTCAAAATCTGCATTACAAATGCCTCTCAAACCTTCCCAGGGAGGAAGGGATGCTCTCGATAAAGTCTGTTCTCCCAGCTGAGCTGAGAAAGACTGTAGTCTCCTTTGTCTCTGCCAGGAAGCTGCAGGCTCCCAAATTTCAGCTGTTGGATCAGCATTTGGCCACTGGTTTTAAGGCATCTGACAGCTGATCACTCCTGTCCATCACTCTGGGTGGATACTTAAGAGATCAGGTGAGAAAGGAAAGGAGAATGTTCCTTGAGGTCCATTGAAAAGCAGACTTAGGTTCAAATGTCAGCTTCACAACTTAACCTGCTGTGTGGCCCTGAGCACATTGCTTAACTTCTCTGAGCTTCAGTGACACCTCTGTTATTTTTTAATCCTCCCACTGCCTGGTGCCTGGAAACTTTTTCTCTCCCAAGATTTTGTCTTGGAATTAAGGTATTATTGTCTCTGGGAATTCTCTTCTAAGATGCAAAAACATTTTGAAAAGTCTCCAACTCAGCCATGAACATTCAAGAATGGATCCAGACTGCGCGCGGTGGCTCACACCTGCAATCCCAGCACTTTGGGAGGCCGAGGCAGGAGGATCACTTGAGGTCAGGAGTTCGAGACCAGCCTGGCCAACATGGCAAAACCCCGTCTCTACTAAAAATACAAAAATTAGCCAGGCATGGTGGCAGGTGCCTGTAATCCCAGCTGTTCGGGAGGCTGAGGCAGGAGAATCGCTTGAACCCGGGAGGCGGAGGTTGCAGTGAGCCGAGACCATGCCACTGCACTCCAGCTTGAGTGACAGAGCAAGATTCTGTCTCAAAAATAACAAAAACAAAAAAAGAATGGATCCATTTATCAGAGATAAACCAGTTGCTCGGCAGGGCTCTGAGGATGGAAGACAACAGACAGATATGTTTTGACTGGAGAAAAGAAGCCCAGAGAAGAAGCTGCTCCCATTGGCAAGGAGAATAGAGTTGATGAGGGTTGATGCCACAGAGGGTCCTAGGGACAAGATCCAGACCTCAGTGCCCCCATCTCAAACAACAGACAATATAGATAAAACCTTATTGAGCACTTACTAGCTGCCAGGCGTCATTCTAAGGGCTTCACAGATTCTCTTCATGTTTATGAAAACCCCATTTTATAGATGATAAAACTGAGGTCAGGGAGGTGAAGTAACTTACTCCACAGCTCACCCCACCAGTAAATGGGACAGCCAACTTGAATTTCCAGAGCCTTCAGTTGGCAGCAGTGGATAACTATGGTTCTTTGAAAGCACTGAGATCCTTGGACACGGTCGTCAAGTGCAGAAGAGGGCAAAAAGAGAAGGCAAGGTACAAAAAGAAGTCGCCAAAAGACAAGCACCAGCACCTCTCCACCTGCTCCTGGACCTGCCTTTCTGCAGCCGAGATCTCTAGCGGAGGTACAGGAACAAGCACCCTGGTATGAGTGGGTCCCTAACAAGGGCTGGCTGGCTGGCATGATACCTTTTCCTTCTTTGCTCCCTCTCAATGCCCCCCAAAACTGTTACCATGGAGACCACCTCTCTAGTGGCCAGAGCCAGGAGCTGGAGCCAAGTGCCAGGAGGCTGAGAGAAAGGGCTGGCAGTGCGTGTGGGGAACAATCACTGGAGGCCCCAAGGAGGTGGTGCCAGGGTTCACCAGATGGCTGGGGGCAGGAAGCCAGCCCATCTTCACACAACAGGTCTGTAGTTTTGCGAGGGTCTGCAAGACTCCCCTCAAAACAACAAAGCTTCTAACAGAAAAAAAAATAGCACAGAAACACATATTTTCTGTCTTTAATCATGTCATGCCTTAGGTATTTTTGCAGCACCTACTATGTGCCAGATCCCATCAAGGTGCTGGAATATTATAGGGAATACACAGATCAATATATAAGCCCCCAGTATAAAGTAGTATAAGAACCCCACATAGAGGATGTGGATGAGTTCAACAGTAAATTGTTCCTCTGTTGGTTTTTGTTTTGGGGTTCTTTCATGGTCATGCTTATTTTCATATTAGCATTAATAATAATACAGCCAGCCACAGAAGCTCCCTGTAATCCCAGCAACTCAGGAGGCTGAGAGAGGAGGCTCACTTGAGCCCAAGAGTTCAAGACTGCAGTGAGCCATGATCGCACCACCACACTCCAGCCTGGGAGACAAAGCAAGACTCCAACTCTAAAGATAATAATAGTACTAGTAGTAGTGATATCTAACATTCAATCAGCACATAATACAAAATGGATCTTGGATCTTTTTCTTCCTTTTTTTTTTTTTTTTTTTTTTTTTTTTTGAGGCAGGGTCTCACTCCTGTCCCTCAGGCTAGAGTACAGTGATGTGATCTCTGCTCACTGCAGCCTGGACTTCCCGGGCTCAGGAGATTCTCTCACCTCAGCCTCCCAAGTAACTGGGACTACAGGTGTGCATCACCATGCCCGTATTTTGCTTTTTTTTTTTTTTAATAGAGACAGGGTTACACCGTGATGTCCAGGCTGGTCTCAAACTTCTGGGCTCAAGTGATCTACCCGCCTCAGCCTCCCAAGGTGCTGGGATTACAGGAGTGAGCCACCATGCCCAGCCCCACAAAGGATCTTATATGCATCAACTTTTATCTCCACTATCACGCTATGATGTGGGCATTGATATTATTATTCCCATTTCACAGATGATGGAATTGAGGCTCAGGGAGATTTATTCACTACCCCAAGGACAAACATCTGGTGTTCTATTTCCCATTGCTGCTGTGACAAATTGCCACAAATTTAGGAGATTTCAACAATGCAAATTTATTCTCTTACAGTTCTGGAAGTCAGAAGTCCAAAATCAGTTTCACTGGGCTCAAGTCAAGGTGCCAGGGGAGCTGGTTCCTTCTAGAAGCTCTGAAGGGAGAATCCATTTCTTTGCCTTTTTCAGCTTGTAGTGGTTTACAAGCATTCCTTGGCTCGTGGTCCCTTCCTCTAACTTCAAAGCGTATCAGCCCAATCTCTGCTATCATCATGTCTCCTCTTATCTCTGACCCTACTTCTTGCTTTTCTTTAGAGACAGGATCTCACTCTGTCACCCATCCTAGAGTGCAGTGGTGCAATCATAACTCACTACAGCCTCCACCTCCTGGGCTCAAGCAATCCTCTCGCCTCAGTCTCCTGAGTAGCTGGGATTACAGGCGTGTACCACCACATCCAGCTAGTTAATTTTTTGCAGAGGCAGGGTCTTGCTATGTTGTCCAGCCTGGTCTTGAACTCATAGGCCCAAAAGATCCTCCCCCATCAGACCCCCACCCTCACCACCAAGTAGCTGGGTCTACAGGCATGCACCATCACACCTGGCTAATTTTGTTTGTTTTTAGTAAAGACAGGGTCTCACTATGTTGCCCAGGTTCTGCTTCCCTTTTATAAGGATCTGGGTGATGGATTGGGCTCACCTGGATAATCCAGGATCATCTCTACATCTCAAGATCCTTAATCACATCTGCAAAGTCCCTTTTGCTGGAAGGTAACATATCCATGGGCTCCAGAATTAGGACATGGACATCTTTGGGAGCCATTACTCCATCAACCATAGCTGGTCAGAGGCAGAGCCAGGATCCAAATCTCCAGGTCTAACTGCAGAGTCCATTCTTAGAACCGCGAGGCCACCAAGAATATCCCTGACACCTCCTTTCCAGGAAGGCAACGACCTGGTCTCTCCAACCATTACACAGGGGGATTCACCAAAAGCCCACTCCGCAACAAACTCAGCAGGCTTTAGAGTTAGAAAGTCCCGGGCTTCAATCTCAACAATGACCCATACCAGATTTGTGTCCTTGGCCATGCACTTGGCCCTTTATGAGTCTCAGTTTCCTCATCTGTGAAGTGGGAATAATTAGATCCACCTCACAGGGCTGTTGTGCAGGTTAAATGAGGTTATGTAGAGAAAGGGCTTAACACAGACCCAGTGTAGAACTAGAGCTCATTAGACAGGAATTATCATCATCATCATCATTATCATTATTATCGGAAAGGTAGAAACTGGCCACAAGCCAGCCCTTCCAGAATAATCTTGTTTATACCTGGGTGCTCTCTTTGGACTTCACCTTGGATATCCTAGAGTTTAAAAAGTAAAACTCAGGCTGGATGCTGTGGCTCACACCTGTAATCCCAACACTTTGGGAAGCTGAGGCAGGCAGATCGCTTGAGCCCAGGAGTTCAAAACCAGCTTGGGCAATCTGATGAAACTCCAGTCTCTACAAAAAAAAAAGAAAAATACAAAAATTAGCTGGGCATGGCAGTGCACACCTGTAGTCCCAGCTGCTCAGGAGGCTGGGGCAGGGGGATCACTTGAGCCCAGGAAGTTGAGGTTGCAGGGAGCCGAGATCACGTCATTGCACTCCAGCCTGGGTGACAGAGTGAGACCCTGTCTCAAAAAAAAAAAAAAAAAAAAAAAGGCAAAACTCCCTCTTTAGGGCCCAGACACTCTTCCTAGGATCCTCTAGGGCCCAGACACTCCTCAGGGAACCCCAGGGACAGAAAAGAGAACCCCAATCACAGGTGAAAAGTTTAACGGAGCAAATGTGAGGTGCTAACAACTTCCCAAGAGGAAAAACCATTGCAAGTTTTCTACCCTGTTTCTCGGGCCCGTTAAAGGGGTGTGTGTTCTCAGAAGCAGAGTAACTACACTTAACCTCAATTACACCAACAGGGCCTTTCAAAAGCCAGAGTCGTGATGTGGAAGATCAAGCAAGAAGCACATGGACTCATTTCAGCACTGCAAATGCAGTAAAGGCTCTAATTAAAGGCCTCCTGGAGTAATTCCAAATGAATAGCCCACCCCCCCAAAAAATATTTTGACAGGCGGGGCTGAGTTATTCAATAGACATTGCTCCTTATTTAAAGCAGAGCGTGGGTTGGCAAAAGGCTGTTTTGTTTCCACTTTATTTCTTCACTGGAGTCTTTATAGCCCGGATTTCATTACGGTTCCAAGAATGCCACACAAGATCAGAGGAAATGTGGTAGTGACAACTGAAATTCTGGCGGATGTGCCTATATTTGACAAATGCTTTAGCCGCTAGCCATAAGCACATCCATTTAAATTAAGGAGTAGGAGGGACAGTTACCCTACTGCAGGCTGCTAATTTCATTGAAGGGACTCTAATTATTTTTCCCTTTTTTTTTTTCTTGCTGGCTAGGACAATGCTAGTTACATAAGAGTATTTCTATTGCTAGAATTAAATATTGAAGTAAAAAATAACAACAGCCCTGGCTGGGCACAGTGGCTCATACCTGTAATCCCAGCACTTCGGGAGGCTGAGGTAGGTGGATAACCTGAAGTCAGGAGTTCAAGACCAGCCTGACCAACATGG